>NC_000010.11:79840064-79991580 GCF_000001405.40 Homo sapiens | reverse complement strand
TGCCAGTCTCTTTCTGTTTTGGTTACTACAGCTCAGTAGTATAATTTGAAGTCAGGCAATGTGATTCTTCCAGTTTTATTCTTTTTGTTCAGGGTGGCATTTGCTATTCTGGGTCTTCTGTGGTTACATATAATTTCAGAATAATTTTTTCTATTTCTATGAAGATTGTCATTGGTATCTTGATGGGGATTGCATTGAATCTGTAGACTGCTGTGGGTAGTATAGACATTTTAACAATATTGTTTATCCTAATCTATGAACACAGAATGTCATTCCATTTTTTGTGTGTTTCCTCTTCAATTTCTTGCATTAATATTTTATAGTTTTCATTTTAGAGATCTTTCACTTCTTTGGTTAAGTTTATTCCTAGGTATTTTATTATATTTGAAACTATTGTAAATGGAATTACTTTCTTGATTTCTTTTTCAGATTGTTCGCTACTGGCACATAGAAATGCTACTGATTTTTGTATGTTAGTTTTGTGTCCTGCAACTTTACTGAATTTATCAGTTCTAATTGTTTTTTTGTGGAGTCTTTAGATTTTTCCAAATATGAGATCATATCATCTGCAAATAAGCATAATTTGACTTCTTCTTCTCCAATTTGGATGCCTTTTCTTTCTTTCTCTTATCTTCCAAAACTGGAAGTTCCAACTAGAGACTTCCAGTACTATGTTGATTAACGGTTGTGAAAGTGGGCATCCATGTCACTTTCCAGATCTTAAAGGAAGGGCTTTTAGTTTTTTACTGTACAGTATGATACTAGCTGTGGGTCTGTCTTATACACCTTTTATTATGTTAAGGTATGTTCCTTCTATCATATCCTTTTTATCATAAAGGGATATTACATTTTATCAAATAATTTTCAGCATCACCTGACATCCTATGGTTTTTGTCTTTCATTCTGTTAATATAATATATCACATTAATTGATTTCTACCTGTTGAACCATCCTTGCATTCCTGGGATGAATCCCACTTGGTCATAATGAATTTTTTTTAGTGTGTTGTTGAATTTGGGTTGCTAGGATTGTGTTGAGGATTTTTGCATCAATATTCATCAGAGATATTGTCCTGTAGTTTTCTTTTCTTTTTTTTTTTAAGTATAGAGTCTTTGTCTGGTTTTGGTATCAAGGCAATAATGGCCTTGTAGCATACATTTGAAAAAATTCCCTCTTCCTCTATTTTTTTCAGAATAGTCTGAGTAGGATTGCTATTACTTCTTTAAATGTTTGGTAGAATTCAGCAGTGAAGCCACTGGGTCCTAGGTTTTTCTTTGCTGTGAGACTTTTTATCATGGCTTCAATCTTTTTATTTGGTGTTTGTCTATTCAGGTTTTGAATTTCTTCAAGGTTGAATTTGGTAGCTTGTATGTGTCTATGAATTTATCCATTCTTCTAGGTTTTCCAATTTATTGGTGTATGGTTACCCATAGTCTCTAATGAGCCTTTGAATTTCTGTTGTATCTCTATTTCTGAATATTGGTTGTAATGTCTCCTTTTTCATCTCTGATTTTATTTATTTGGGCTTCCTCTCTTTTTTCTTCATTAGTCTGGCTAAAAGTTTGCTGCTTTTGTTTTGTTTTTTTAGAAAACCAATATTTCATTTTATTTATCTTTCATTTTTTATTTCAATTTTATTTATTTCTGCTCTGTCCCTTATTATTTCTTTTTCTACTAATTTTAGGTTTGGTTGCTCTTGCTTTTCTAGTTCTTTAAGATTCATCTTTAGGTTGTCTATTTGAAGTTTTTCTACTTTTGTGATGTAGGTGCTTACTGCTATAAACTTTTCTCTTATTACTGTTTTTGCCATATCCCATCCATATGTTTCAGTGTGTTGTGTTTCCCTTTTCATGTTTCAGTAATTTTTTTTTTTGAGACAGAGTTTTGCTCTTGTTACCCAGGCTGGAGTGCAAGGGTGCAATCTCGGCTCACCGCAACCTCCGCCTCCTGGGTTCAAGTGATTCTCCTGCCTCAGCCTCCTGGGTAGCTGGGATTACAGGCATGTGCCACCATGCCTGACTAATTTTGTATTTTTAGTAGAGATGGGGTTTCTCCATGTTGGTCAGGCTGATCTTGAACTCCCAACCTCAGGTGATCTGCCCATCCTGGCATCCCAAATTGTTGGGATTACAGGCATGAGCCACTGTGTCTGGCCATTTCAAGAAATTTTTAAAGTTCCTTCTTAATTTCTTCAATGACTCATTGGTTATACAGGCCATATTGTTTATTGTTTAACAGTTTTCAAAGTTTCTCTTGTTATTGATTTTTAGTTTTATTTCTTTTTTTGTCAGATAAGATACTTAATATAATTTCCATTTTTTTGAATATTTTGTGACTTGTTTTGTGGCCTAACATATGGTGTATCCTTGAGAATAATCTATGTGTTGAGGAAAAGAATGTGTATTCTGTAGCCATTTGATGAGTTATTCTGTAAATATCTGTTAAGTCCATTTGGTCTGTAGTTCAGATTAAGTCTTATGTTTCTTTATTGATTTTCTGTCTGGATGATCTGTCCAATGCTGAAAGTGGAATGTTAAAGTCTCCAACTATTATTGCATTGGAGTCTCTCTCTCTATTTAGCTCAAATAGTATTTGCTTTATATATACTTGGGTACTCCAGGGATGGGTGTAGGTATATTTACAATTGGTACATCCTCTGGCTGAATCAATCCCTTAATCATTATATAATGACCTTCTTTGTCTCTTTTTATAGTTTTTATCTTGAACTTTATTTTTATCTCTGTAAGTGTAGCTACTCCTGCCCTTCTCAATTTGCATGGAATTCCATTTGCATGGAGTATATTTTTCCATCCCTTTATTTTATCTATGTGTATCTTTATAGGTGAAATGTGTTTCTTGTAGGCAACAGGTCATTGGATCTTGTCTTTTTTTTTTTTTTTTTCCTGAGATGGAGTCTCGCTCTGTCGCCCAGGCTGGAGTGCAATGGCATGATCTCAGCTCACTGCAACCTCTGCCTCCCAGGTTCAAGCAATTCTCCTGCCTCAGCCTTCTGAGTAGCTGGGATTACAGGCACCTGCCACCACACCCAGTTATTTTTTGTATTTTTAGTAGAGATGGGGTTTCACCATGTTGGTCAGGCTGGTCTCGAACCCCTGACCTTGAGATCCACCTGCCTCGGCCTCCCAAAGTGTGGATCTTGTCTTTTTAATCCATTCAGCTACTCTATGTCTTTTGATTGGAGAGTTTAGTCCATTTACATTTAATTTTATTATTAATAAGTAGGATTTACTGCTGCCATTTTGCTATTTGTTTTCTGGTCATTGTGTGGTCTTCTCATTCTTCCTTCCTATCTGCCTTTTTGGGAAAGTGATTTTTTCTCATGATATGTTTTAATTTCTTGTTTTATATTTTTTTGTGTATCTGTGATTTGAGGTTACCACAAGGCTTGCAAATAACATTTTATAACCCATGTTTTAAACTGTTGACAACTTACCTCTTATTGCAAAAACAAGCAACAAACAAGCAAAGAGAAAACAAATAAAACTCTACCCTTTAACTTCATTCTCCCACTTTTTAACTTTTTAGTTTCTATTTATATCTTATTATACTTGCTGTGTCTTAAAAAGTTGTTATACTTATTATTTTTGATAGGTTCATTTTTTAGTATTCCTACTCAAGGCATTAGTATTTTACACACTACAATTACAGTGTTATAATATTCTATATTTATCTATGTACTTATTGTTACCAGTGAGTTTTGTATCTTCAGATTCTTTTTCTTTTCTTTTTTTTTGAGATGGAGTCTTGTTCTGTCACCCAAGCTGTAATGCAGTGGCATGATCTCAGCTCACTGGAACCTTTGCCTCCTGGGTTCAAGTGATTCTCCTGACTCAGCCTCATGAGTAGATGGGATTACAGTTGCCTGCCACCACACCTGGCTAATTTTTGTAGTTTTAGTAGAGACGGACTTTCACCCGGCTGGCCTTGAACTCCTGACCTTGTGATCCACCCGCCTCAGCCTCCCAAAGGGCTGTGATTATAGGCGTGAGCCACTGCGCCCAGCCAGATGTCTTATTGCTTGTTAACATCCTTTCTTTTTTCAGATCGAAGAACTCCCTTTAACATTTCCTGTAGGATAAGTCTGGTGTTGATAAAATCCCTAAGATTTTATTTGTCTGGGAAAGTATTTCTCCTTCATGTTTGAAGGATATTTTCACTGGATTTAATATTGTAGAATACAAGTTTTTCCTCCAGCACTTTACATATATAATGCCACTCTCTCTTGGCCTGTAAGGTTTCCACTGAGAAATCTACTGCCAGATGTGTTGCGCCTTTATATGTTATCTTTTTCTTATATCTTGCTGCTTTTAGGATCCTTTCTTCATCTTTGACATTTGGAAATCTGATTATTAAATATCTTGAGGTAGTCTTATTTGGGTTAAATCTGCTTGGTATCCCATAAGTTTCTTTTTCTTTTTTTCTTTTTTTTAATTCAGGTGTCCTTTTACTGCCGGCAACCGAGAGATGGCTAGAGCTCAAAATTCTCTCGGCCCTGAAGAAGGGGCTAGATTTCTTTTTATACTGTGATCTAAATAGGGGATGGGGAGCCTAGCTGAAGCAATTTTTACGGAAGCAGAACAGGCAAAAAGTTTAAAAAAATTAATGGTTACAGAGATAGTTACAGAAATATAAACAGTTCCAGGTGCAGGGGCTTAAACTATCACAAAGAGATAAATGCAGGGGCTTGGGTACCATCCACTGAGCACATCCCCAGCAGCTGCTGGTACAGCTTGCCTCAATATCTTATCAGTAAGTGCATTCCTGGATGTGCTTGGAGTCAGCTTGCACTAGTTATTCCCCTAAGGGAGGGGGGATAAGGGGGCTGCAAGTGAAGAAGCTAAAATGGAGTCTGTCCGGCTCTCTCAGCTAAGAGAGAGTCACTCAGGTTAAAACAGGGTAGGGTATCACAGATAGACAGTTGATATAATTGATAGATGATAGATTACTTTTATGGGTCCTCCCCTGTCCATTAAGACTGAAACTGTGTGTGATTATGTTTCCTTGAATCATTACCACTTTTTTCTTCCTAAGCGTGTTACCTTCCTATTTCACCATAGAAACTTTCAATATTTTGCTCAGAAACTCAGGGCTTTTGGGTACTGCCCTCCCACTGTCTAGTTTTTGTGCTTTCTTTTGGGGTCCTCTCTGGAGGCCACAACCATCTTTGGGGCATGCCCAGGAGAGAAGGAGGTGGATCTAGTTCCCTTAGAATGGCTTTGGTGATGCTCTTTGCTGCAGACAGACTACAATCTGCTCCAACATCCCTTCCCCCTTTCTTTTTTCTTTGCCTCCCCTCCTCTGCCACATCTCTATTCCTCCCAGCCTTTCTCCACTCTTCTGTACGCCCATCATTCTCCTCCACTTCCAAGGTCACAGGCATCACCATGTAAGCCTCCCATCCCAGATAAGCAGCCTCCAAGATGACCCATGATCCCCACCTCCTTGTATGTACATCGTTGTGTAGGACCCTTCTGCACTGAGCAGGGCTGAGCTGTGTTAGCACTAGGATATATGGGAATGACAAGGTGGCATATGACTTCCAAAGTTAAGGTCACTTTGCTGTCTCGGATCACTAAGGCAGCTATCATGTTGTGAGGAGGCTCAAGTTGTCTTGTGGTGGGTCCCTGTGGCAAGGAACTGAGCTCTCCTGCTGACAGCCAGCAGTGCCTTCCCAACCATTAGAGTGAGTCACCTTAGAAGCAAATTCTCCAGCTCCAGTGTATCCTTTAGATAACTGCCACTCTGGTCATCATCTTGTCTACAACCTCATGAGAAACCTCAGCCAGAACCACCCAGCTAAGTTGCCTCTGAATTCCTGAGACACAGAAACTGTGAGATAATAAATGTTTACTGTTTTAAGACTCTAAATTTGGAGTAATTTGCTATTCAGCCATAGAAACTAACACTCATTTCATCATGCCTGACACTGATATCGCTACAGTTTCACATCCCTGTGGCTAAAGCTCTCCAAGGGCTCATCATTAATTTCAGGATAAAATCCAAATCCCTTAACATAGAATAGGTCTTTTATGAACTGCCTCCTGCATGCCTCTCAGCCCCATCCGGCCCACTCTGCCTTTCCTCCTTGCATCACTCCAGCTACTCTGAAACACACTGCACCTTCCTAAATGTGGACAGATAAAATTGCCAGACTTTTCATAGGATGCCCAGTGAAATTTGAATTTCAGATAAATAACAAATAATTTGTGTGGTTATACAATATTTGGGACATACTTATACTAAAAACATTGCATGACACATACTTATTCTTAAAAGTTATTATTTTATCTGAAATTCACATTTAATAGGGCATCCTGTACTTTCCGTTGCTAAATCTGGCAACGCTACAGATGCGAGCTGCTCACTTTCACCTCCTGCTCAGTCCCCAGCTGGATCACTACAGCTCCCCCTGACTAGCTCCCTGCCCTGCAAGACTTGGCCCAGACATCAGTGCCCCTAGAAAGCCTAGACTAACTTCTCTGCCCTATACACACCTAGGATGAGTCAGACGTGCCTGCTGCAGGCTCCCGCCCACCCGTCACACCTCTCTCACACCACACACTTTGCAAGTATTTGTTTACCTGTCTCCAGTACTAGACTCTGAGATTCTTGAGGTCAGGAACTGTCTTACTCACTGCGACGTGGCTTCAGTGCCAAAAACATAGTATAATTAGTTTATACTTACTGAAGATTTACTCTAAGGTAGTCGCTGTTCTAAGATGTTCTGCATATATCAACTTATTGAATTTTCATATCAAGCCAAAGGAGGTACTATTAACATCCCACTCTTACTGGGGAGGAATCTGAGACAGAAATAGGTTTTGTGACTTCTCCAGTGTCATTTGAAAATGGCAGGGAAGTTGGGGTTCAAAGCCAGGAGTCTGACTCCAGAGCCCACCCTCTAACAAACTAGACACATTGCCTCTTTACAGTGCATGATAAGTGCTTGCCAAATGCATGTTAGAACTGACTATCCAGCTAAGTTTCTCCAAACTAGATAACTGCCTTTAAGCAGGGACCTTGCTGCCTGTGCCCCTCCCAGCTCTCTCTCCAGTCACCACTACTGAGCACAATGCATGGTGCCTTCTTCACAAGCAAATACCTTCTCCCTTCTTCAAATCCTGACTACAGATCCAGGGTAGCACCATCTACCACACCTCCCTAAAAAAGAATGGTTATAGGCAGGGAGCAGCGGCTCACGCCTGTAATCCCAGCACTTTGGAAGGCCGAGGCGGGTGGATCACCTGAGGTCAGGAGTTTGAGACCAGCCTGGGCAACATGGCGAAACCCTATCTCTACTAAAAATACAAAAAATTATACGGGCATGGTGGCACGTGCCTGTAATCCCAGCTACTCAGGAGGCTGAGGCAGGAGAATCCCTTGAATCTGGGAGGCGAAGGTTGCAGTGAGCCGAGATCGCGCCACTGCACTCCAGCCTGGGTGTCAGAGTGAAACCCCATCTCATATACATATATATATATAGTGGTTACAGCATATGCCTTAGAAATATAAGCCAAGAGAGCACTGTGATTAATACTGTCAGTTCTAGAGTAAAATTCCCTGGGCTTAGATCCTAACTGTACTGCTTATTAGCTGTATGGTTTTGGATGAGGCCCTGAGACTTAGATTCTTCATCTAAGAAATGGAGATGTAGCATCTGGAACACAGCATGTACTCAGTAAATGTCAGCTGTCACCATTGTCATTGCCAATCCACTCAGCCCACGGGCAGGTATGTATGGTCCTGGCAAAAGTTGTTAAGAGGAGGCCGCAGGCGCTGGGGAGCATGCGGAGAGGCTGCGTGGAGCTGCGTGCTCCCGGGGCTGCATGCCCAGTGAAGCGCATGAAGGGCGAGCGGTGATGGGTTCTGCGCCAGTGGGGCTGGGAGAGTGTGGGGGGCTGTAGGTGGAGCTGCGCGCAATGTGGGAACTGCACGTGCGGGCTTGGGGACTGCGCACATCGGGGGGCTGCAGGCGTGGGGGAGGGTTTGGGGGGCTGTGCATGGGGCTGCCCTCACGGAAGGCTGCACGCTCGGGGACGCGCGGAGGCTGGGGTGCTGCGCGCCGCTGGAGAGCACGTTGGGGGACATGCAGGGACTGCCCGGGCGAAATGGTTTGACTGCACGCCCTCCACCCCACATTTCACAGTCGCCATGACGACTGGGAGGTCCGCAGCCGCTGCGGTGGCCGGTACAAGTAGTTGAGGCTGCGAGGCCAGTGAGGCCTTTCCAGACCTCGCCCTACTGGGCTGGGCTGCGTGGGAAATTGACCCAGCTCCACCAGAACAGGAACTATGAGAAAATAGTTGGGCAAACGAGGAGTAAGCTCAAAAGCAGCGGCTCCACAGCCATTTCAATCTTCCCGCCCCAGCCAGTTGAAGCTGAGGGGCCTCCCAAGCCAGGGAGCCAGAGATGGAGGAGGAGGTGGAAGAGTCCGGGCTGCCTCTGTAGCTTTGGACCCTAGGCAGAGGGAACCTGCCAGGGGGCGGGAGGAGGTGCGCAATCTGAGACCTCCAAATGGCTTGCAGCTGGACGTGATTGCCAAGACCCTTCTGGGCTGCTTCCAGTTGTTACATAATTTCCTGGCGCAGCTCCAGGAAAAGGTGCACAAACTGCAGGCGCCTCAGTTCTCCAGGAAGACCACTCTGGGCTTTGGTGTGGAGAGGGCAGGAGAGCCCTAGGAGGGAGCCGCATGGCGCTTTTCTTGAGTCTTGAAGGAGATCAGTTTAATAAGCAAGGGTTTGTGGGTGCCCAGTAGCAAATAATAGCAAGGTCCGAGCTCTGGAAAAGCGTGGCAAGAATCGCCAAGCTCCATTAGTTCTTGTTTTAAAACATTTTCAGGGTTTTCTGACAGTAGTCACCCCTATGTCACAATAAGGAAATGGTATCTGAATCAGGGCAGCTAATTATCATACTTGGTAAAAATGATTAGCTGGCTCTTGAAGAACAGACATGTTTCTCAGCACCTCCAAACATGGGCGGCAAGAGGTGAGCTGGAAGGTGCTGATCACCAGGCATTGCATGGCGGGGCTCCCGCCCACCGGCCTGGACCGGCCGCGCCACCTTCCTCAGCGCTGCTGTGCACCGAGTCCTGTAAGCCCTATAGGCCGCTGCTACTGTTCGGCATGCTGAAGGAGGACTGCGCTGCGCGGGCCCCCAAAGCCACGCTCCCCACGGCCCCGCCGCGGGAGCGGCTGCGCGGGGCTGCCAGGGCCTTCGCAGCAGCGCCGCCCGAGGCGCTGGGCTGGTGCCCACTGGGCACCTGAGCCGGGAACCGCCCCGCGGTGGCCCGAGCGCCCCCGCCGCCGCCCGCGGTCCCATTGGCTCCTCCGTTGCTACTGGAAGGTAGATCCGAGCCCCAGTACGTGCGCGTGCGGCTCCTCTGCTTGGTGCCCATGTCCGCCCTGCCCCGCCAGGCGCGCCCGGAGAGCCAGGAGGGCGGGAGCGAGCGCGGGAGCTAGAGGGCAGGGCCAAGGCGCAGCAGCCGGCCCAGAGAGACCCCCCGCACGTCCAGGGCCGCCGCCCCAGGGGAAGTCGGCGCCCGGCGCGCTCTTCCTGGGGAGGTGGGCGAGGCTGGCGGCCTGACGCGGGCACGGGAGACAAGGAGACGAGGAGACGTGGAGAGGAAGGGGTCTCGGCTGCGGGCACACCTCGCTGGCTCTAGCAGGAAGAGGCGGCTCAGGTGTCCGTGTGGCTGCCTCTGGTTTAGGTTCTGGTGCGCCATGAAGGCCACTGCCGGTCTGGGCGCGCTGGGCGCCCCGGGCGTCGGGCACCGCCTCCTCTGGGGCTGTGGCTGCTACCGCAGCCATCCTCCGGCTCCCAGGGCTGCTGGCGGCTGAGTGGGAGGCGCCTGCCCAGACTCCGCCGGCGCCACCTTCCCTCTTCCCACAGCCACCCAGTTGTTTTTAACGGAGAAAGAGGAAAAACGGGCGGTGCGCCAGGGGAGGACGAAGAATGGGAGGGAGGGGTGCTGCGCGCTTCCCGGCAACCGTCGCCTCGCTCCCCCTGGGCTGGGCTGGCGGGAGGATCTGGGCCGCGAAGGTCGGGGTGCCCAGGCGGGGAGGAGGTTCCCCAGCCCTCACGCCGCCCGGCCTATATAGGTTTCTTACACTTGAATATTGATATTTTTCTCTAGGTTTGGGAAGTTATCTGTTATTATCTCCTTGAATAAACTTTTTACTCTGATTTCCCTCTCTACCTCCACTTTAAGACCAATAACTTATATTTGCCTTTTTGAAGCTATTTTATAAATTTCATTATTTTCTTTTTTCTTTTGACTCCCCTGTGTATTTTCAAATAGCCTGTCTTCAAGCTGACTAATTCTTTCTTCTGCTTGGTTAATTCTGCTGTTGAGAGACTCTAATGCATTCTTCAGTGTGTCAATTGAATTTTTCAGCTGCAGAATCTCTGCTCGATTCTTTTAAATTACTTCAATCTTTTTGTTAAATATATTTAACAGGATTCTGAATTCCCTCTCTGTATTACCTTGGATTTCATTGAGATTTCTTAAAACAGCTATTTTGAATTCTCTGTGTAAAAGGTCACATATCTCTCTAACTCTGGAGTTGGTCACTGATGCCTTATTTAGTTTGGTGAGGTCATGTTCTCCTTGGTGGTCTTGATGCTTGTGGATATTTGCCAGTGTCTGGGCATTAAAGAGTTAGGTATTTAATCTTTTCAGTGTGGGCTGGTTTGTACTTGTCCTTCTTGAGAAGGCTTTTCAAGTATTCAAAGGGAAATGAGCGTCGTAATCGAATTATTTGGTCACTGCAGCCAAATACACAATAGGGGGAACCCCAAACTCAGTAATGCTGTGACTCTTGCAGACCCATAAAAGTATCACCTTAGTGGTCTTGGGTGAAATCTGAGAGAAGTCCCTGGATTACCAGACAGTCTCTTGTTCTCTTCCCATACCTTCTCCCAAACAGACAAAGTCTTTCTCTCCATGCTGAGGTGCCTGGAGTTGAGGAAGGGGTGACACAAGCACTCCCATAGCCATCACTGCTGGGATTGTGCTGGGTCACACCTGAAGCCAGCACAGTACTGGGTCCCACCTAAGGCCTCTGGTGACAATTTCCTGGCTACCACTGATGTTTATTCAATGTTCAAGGGCTCTGTAGTCAGCAGGTGATGAATCCTGGCCAGGACTGAATTTTTCTCTTCAGTGCAGCAATTTACCTTCTGTCTCAGGGTGAGTCTATAAATGCCATCTCGGAGCTAGGGCCTGGGATTGGGGATTTTAGGAATCTGCTTGATGCTTTATTTTACCGAGACTGAGCTGGTACCCAAGTTACAAGACAAAGTCCTTTTTACTTTTCCCTTTCCTTTCCTCAAGCAGGAGTCCCTCCCTGTGGCCACCAGAGCTGGGAATGTGCTGGGTTGCACATGATGCCAGCAAGGTACTGAGTCTCATCCAAAATCCATGGTACTTACTGCCTGGTTACCACTGATGTTTATTCAGGGCCCAAGGGCTCTTTAGTTAGCAGGGGGTGAATTCTGCAAGGACTGGCTTCTTTCCTTGAGGGCAGTGGGTTTTCTTCAGGCCCAAGATGAGTCTAGAAATTTCATCTGGGAGCTATGGCTTAGAATTGGGGCTTCAGGACTCTGCTTGGTGCTTTATTTTACTGTGGCTGAGCTGGTATTCAAGTTGCAAGACAAAGTCCCCTTTACTCTTTTTTCTCCCACATTTGTGAGCTGCACTGCCTGGAGTTGGCGGGGAGGAGTGAGGCAAGCACTTTCTTGGCCACTCCAGGTGATATCTCACTGGGTCACCTACACCTCAAGCAAGTCCACTGGCTCTGAGCCCAGCTAGCATAGGGACTTGCCCAGGAATTTCAGTCCTTGTGTCTAGACTGCCTTTCAAGTTTATTTAGGATCCCAGAGTACTTCATCCCATGGTGGTGGGTCTATCCAGATTCTGACCCCTGGAATGGACAATTCCTCTTTGGCTAGGGCTGGTCTAAATGCTTCCTCTGTGAGTGCTGGCTGAACTGTGTCCTGTGTTGCTTTCTGCTGTGACAGCATTCCAATGCAAAGTTCCATAATCACTTTGCTCTCTCTCTCCCAAGTACACAGATCTCTCTCATACCACTTGATGCTGCCAGTGAATGGGGGTAGTGTAGGCAATTCAAGACTCTTTCCTTCCCTCTTCACTGCCTCTGTCCTTGATATGACGTTAAAACCATGTACTGTGATTGCTCACCTGATTTTTGGTTCTTATGAAGGTGTTTTTTTGTGCGGATAGTTGTCCAGGTTGGTGTTCCTGCAGGGCATGGGGAATGATCATTGGAGGGCTCTGGCCATCTTGCTCTGCTTCCTGATTCAATTTTTTATCAATGTTTTATTGTTTTTCAGTGTACAGATCATTCACCTGCTTGGTTAAATTTATTCCTAGATATTTTATTTATTTTTTATTTTCTGGTTTATGTTTTCTCATGATATTTTTAGATAGTTTAACATTTTGATGCTATTTAAGATTGTTTTCTTAATTTTTGTTTCTGATAGTTTGTTGATAGTATTTAAATTGCAACCGATTTTTGCACTTTGGTTTTGTATCCTGAAACTTTACCGAATTTATTTATTCTAACAGTTTTTTGGTGGAGTCTTTAGGGTTTAAATATAAGATAATGTAATCTGCAGACAGACAATTTTACTTCTTTCTTTCTTTCTTTCTTTCATTTGGGTGCCTTTTCTTTCTTTTTATTGCCTAATTGAGCTGGCTAGGATTTCCAGTATTTTGATAAATAGAAGTAACAAGAGTGTACATCCTTGTCTTGTTTCTAATCTTCAAGGAAAACATTTTAGAATTTCACCATTGAGAATGATGTTACCTGTAGATTTGTCATATAAGGCCTTTATTTTGTTGAGGTACATTCATTCTATACCTTTTTTTTTTTTTTTTTTTTTTTTTTGAGACAGGGTGTCACTCTGCTGCCCAGGCTAGAGTGCAGTGGCACAATCTTGACTCACTGCAGCCTCAACCTCCCAGGCACAAGTGATCCTCCCACCTCAGCCTCCCAAGTAGCTGAGACTACAGGCATGTGCCACCACACCTGGCTAATTTTTGTAATTTTTGTAGAGATGGGGTTTCATCATGTTGCCCATGCTGGTGTTGAACTCCTGAACTCAAGTGATCCACCCACGTTGGCCTCCCAAAGTGCTAGGATTACAGGCATGAGCCACTGCACCCAGCATATGCCTAATTTGTTGTGATGAATGTAATATCTCTTATGATGAAAGAATGTTTAATTTTATCAAATACTTTTTCTGCATCTATTGAGATGATCACATGGATATTTCCTTCACACTATTGTTGTGATGTATTACATTTGTTGATTTGCATGTGTTGAACCATCCTTGCACCCCTATGTTAGGTCCCATAGATTATACCAAACAGCATTGCATCTTGGACAGATGGTAACTAATCTACTGTAACTACAAATTATGGCAAAGCTATATCATCTGATAAAAACCAAAAGGCAAAAAATGGGACATCCTCCTTTTCACTTTAAAGAAAAGGTAAACAGACTGCAAGTGGTTAGGCTCACCTGTTCTTGAGTGCTACTGTCAGGGTAAGTCAAGAAATTCTTGAACTCAGACAAAGATTGCACTGCTTAATAAGCTGGGAGAAGGGTGGTGCTGGAGAACAGGTTAAATGAAAGATGTGAGGTATCATGCAAGATCTCTTTACTGAAAAATAAAACTTTCCTCAAAATTGAAGATAATGAAAGAAAGAGAGGAAGAAAGAAAGGTGGAAAAGAAAGGAAAAAAAAGAAGTAAATCTGAAGACCTACTTCATGTATAAATGGAAAAAAATCTGTAACAACTCCTTAGTAGGCTGTGGATATCACATCTGTGTTGTAAAGCAATGACTGGATGAAAATTGCTACATTTAAATAATTCCAGCTGGCAAGAGGGCTCTTTCACCACAGATACCTGAAAAACACAAGTTCCTTATATTACCATGAGGACAAGAAAAACTAGCCAGATTGATTTGTAAATGAGACTGATTACCTGTGAAACTAGATACATCAAATAGATTACAATGTTGCTTTGTGCATGTGTGAGCACTGTGTGTGTGTATGTGTGTGTTGTTGTTGTTTGTTTATGATTGAGTATCAGAAAAGCTGCTTGCTTGAACTAAATGAAACATTATGAGTATTAATAGAAGTAATGTCCTGTGGAACTCTAGGATTCTTCACAGCTAGTAGGTTGCTCTCTGGCCTCAGGTTTCAGCTGGGGCTTGTTTGTGAGCAGAGCACCAATACAGTGAGTCCTGTGGTTGGGAGGGATTCCACAGGGTAAAAAGATCTTGATTGAGGGTCACTAATTGCAGAGACTTTTGCTAAAGAATAAATCCTTGGCACCCAGCCAGGAACTAAGCTGAGTTTGGCTCCAGAGGTGAAATGGCCACGTCTCACACCTATAGTTTCTTCCCCACTGTATTAGTCTGTTTTCATGCTGCTGATAAAGACATATGCAAGACTGGGAAGAAAAAGAGGCTTAATTGGATTTACAGTTCCACGTGTCTGGGGAGGCCTCAGAATTATGGTGGGAGGAGAAAGGCACTTCTTACATGGCTGCCATCAAGAGAAAATGAGGAAGAAGGAAAAGCAGAAACCCTTGATAAATCCACCAGATCTCATGAGACTTATACACTATCATGAGAAAACCATGGGAAAGACCAGCCCTCATGATTCAATTACCTCCTCCTGGGTCCCTCCCACAACATGTGGGAATTCTGGGAGATACAATTCAACTTGAGATTTGGGTGGGGACACAGCCAAACCATATCACCCACTCTGAGAGGATGGTTGCCAGGCAGCACCCAATGACCCATGCCACTTGAACTAGAAGTGGCCTGCTAGTCCCATAACTTGGTTTTGAAGACTTCTTGTCCCCAGTTCTCAGAAGGGGGAGGTGGAAAGCTTCATTATGCTCTTGTTGAATCCTCAGGGTTTTTCCCTTTAGGTGCAGATGGCTTTACTGAGAAAAGCCCTTTTTTTCCAGCCTGGACTTGGACTCTGGCAGCAGTGGCAGTGGTGGTGCCATCACTCTTCTGGCACCAGACTTCCTTCAACAGCCATTTTATCACTCACCCTCCCAAACTCTGTGGTTTCCCAGAGCAGTAGATATGATTGACTCAGTAGCCAGGGACTTCTGGGAGCATGCAGATGTGTTTTTGCACAGGCTGTCAGGTGATGGGATAGGATCCACTGTGCAAGCCTGGATCTCAGGCTTCTTTGGGCTGGCTGACCAGGACCACAAAACCAGCTGAACTCCAGCTTTCAGCACCATTTATTGCCTTTGGCAATTCAAGTTTCCCCAAATCTTAAAGTCCTCATGCTACTGGAGTCACTCTTTCCTTTCAGAACCAAAGGCCATCACTTTGATTCTTTTGCCAAAAGAGAAACTTGTTTTTCTTAAGGCCACTGTATCCAGAACTCTTGTTTCACAAGGTATAGCCCACCACTTCTGTGTTGGGAACAGGCCCCCCAAAATCTGGCCATAAACTGGCCCCAAAACTGGCCATAAACAAAATCTCTGCAGCACTGTAACATGTTCATGATAACCATAACACCCACGCTGGAAGGTTGTGGGTTTACTGGAATGAGGGCAAGGAACACCTGGCCCACCCAGGGTGGAAAACCGCTTAAAGGCATTCTTAAGCCACAAACAATAGCATGAGCAATCTGTGCTTTAAGGGCATGTTCCTGCTGCAGATGACTAGCCAGACCCACCTCTTTATTTGGGCCCATGCCTTCCTTTCCCATAAAGGATACTTTTAGTTAATCGAATATCTATACAAACAATGCTAATGACTGGCTTGCTGTTAATAAATACGTGGTTAAATCTCTGTTCAGGGCTCTCAGCTCTGAAGGCTGTGAGACCCCTGATTTCCCACTTTACAATTCTGTTTCTGTGTGTGTGGGTTTAATTCCTCTAGTGCCGCTGGGTTAGGGTCTCCCCGACTGAGCTGGTCTCAGCAAGTGGTGTCCATCATGGGGACTCAAATCCAGGTCGAAGGGTCGCCGGAGCAACAGTTGGAGAATGTGGAACTAAGCTGGAGGACACCTGAGTACTCTTAAAGCAATCCCCGTGGTGAGTAAGAAGGGGAGCTTGGAAGCATCAGGGTAACAATGGGACAAGTGTGGGGTCTGGTTCATTCCACCTAGGAACTTTTTCACACTGATGAGGAGGAGGAAGGAGAGTATAACAAAGTAACAGAAGAGGTTACAGAGCAGTTTTATTTACCAGCTGAAGCTAAAGTGGCAAAGGAGGGAGAGGTTCATCCCTACCCTTCTGCACCCCCTCCTTATTATTTTGAAGAAAATGACCTTCCAGATCTTTCTTTTCCGGAGGACACTGGGCAAAAAGTAGTTGCCCCAGTGACTGTTCGAGCAGCACCTAGAGCGACTGCTCTTAGTTCTAGTCAGGCAGGAATTCAGCAAGCTAGATGAGAGAGTGATTTAGAGGCTTGGTGATTCCCTGTTGGAATACACCCCCCCAGATCAACAGGGAAATATTATAGCTACATTTGAGCCCTTTCCTTTTAAATTACTCAGAGTAGCCAGATCCACCCCTTTATTTCGGCCCATCCCTTTGTTTCCCATAAGGGATACTTTTAGTTAATCGAATGTCTATAGAAACAATGCTAATTAATGCTCTGAAGGCTGTGAGACCCCTGATTTCCCACTTTACACCTCTATATTTCTGTGTGTGTATGTTTAATTCCTCTAGCACTGCTGGGTTAGAGGTCTCCCTGACCGAGCTGGTCTCGGCATTTCTGCCAAAGAAAAGACTCCTCCTCTTTCAACATTAGCTGTAGGCACATCTGTATATATACAAACAAGAATAGAAGGGTGTGATGAGGAGAGGTGACGGGATTGTTGAAGTAGATATAGACACAGAGAGATACACTTTATATGCATTTAGAGATAGATGGAGAGGTATATATACATAGAGATATATTTTGTATGTATCTTAAAATTGGCCAATATCAGATTTTTTTAATGAACCAGAGAACTATGATCACATCACTCTTGAAAATATAGGCATGACTAGAAATACTAGACTGTCTCATCTCTGATGGCATATAAAAAATATCTGGGGGTGGCTGGGTGTGGTGGCTCACACCTGTAATCCCAAAACTTTGGGAGGCTGAGGCGGGCAGATCATGAGGTCAGGAGATCGAGAAACCCCGTCTCTACTAAAAATACAAAAAAAAATTAGCTGGGCGTGGTGGCAGGTGCCTGTAGTCCCAGCTACTCGGGAGGCGGAGGCAGGAGAATGGCGTCAACTCAGGAGGCAGAGCTTGCAGTGAGCCGAGATCGTGCCACTGCACTGCAGCCTGGGCAACAGCGCAAGACTCTGTCTCAGAAAAAAAATAAATAAATAAAAATAAAAAATATCTGGGGGTATAATTGAGAATAAAACAACTAACGGCATAGTCCTAATGCTGTCAAATAAATTTTTCAGCTTATTTAAGGGGAATCTGTGATGCTACTATTTGTGTGTGTGTGGGTGTGTGTCTGTCTGTCTGTGAAACACACAGAGATCCTAATTTCACAGTTAACGTAATCAGCATTATGTGGAAAAGTATCCTCTACTTGGAGTAATCCACCAGTAAAAAATGAGTTTAGAATTTTCTGGCACTTGTGCTCTGCATACACAAACCAAAGAAACCCTTTGGCATAATGCATCCAGAGTCATCCCAAGAAGTTCACTGCATGACACTGTGGTGTTATTCCAGACTGGCACCTTTGTAGATGCAAGCTATGAACTAGAGCTGGGTACCCTGTCCTTGCTCTCACATGTATATATGAAAGGAGACAATGCAAAGGACTAATGGAATTGTAAAAAAGATGGGACAGAGGGTATATTGATAAAATAACACAAGGAAATTAACATTTCGTTTTCTAAGACTTTTTTTTTTTTTTTTTTTTGAGACAGAGTCTTGCTCTGTCGCCTAGGCTGGAGTGCAGTGGCGGGATCCCGGCTCACTGCAAATTCTCCCTCCCAGGTTCAAGCAGTTCTCCTGCCTAAGCCTCCTGAGTAGCTGGGATTACAGGCACCCATCACTGCGCCTGGCTAATTTTTGTATTTTTAGTAGAGATGGGGTTTCACCATGTTGGCCAGGCTGGTCTTGAACTCCTGACATTGTGATTCACCTGCCTCGGCCTCCCAAAGTGCTGGGATTACAGATGTAAGCCACTGCGCCTGGCCTTCAAAGATATTTTTAATGTACCAGTGGAAACTCCCCTACAGCTTGAAGATCCATGATGTATCCTTGGAAGTTACAAAAATAGAAAAGAAAAAACACAAATGAAGAAACACAACCAAGAGGCTTGAACTTGATGTACAATTTATTTATAATAAAAAGGGAAGCTTCATGATATGCATGTTAATACTAACAAAAATGCTAACAAAGTGGGAATATTAATGTTCATAGACTTTGTTTAATGATTTCATGGAGGGGCTATTGTAACTTTTACTGTCATTTTCTTTCTGTTTCAATGTTTAAAGGGAAACTCACACATGATAACAGCTCAGTATTATGGATGGATATAAGCTCATTGAGTCAATCCTTGAGAGATGGAGAGTGAAGTAACTTCCAGTTCCCATTTGGAACTCTCAGAGCTAGGATAAAAACTCCTTGTCATGAATTCACAGGATGAGAAAATCTAGCATCCTCCCATGTTCTGCCCATTTGCCCGCCTTCAGGTTTGACTTTTGAACTTGCCAAAAGGGAGAAAAGTCTGGACAAGTCCCCTTTTCACCTTTTCTCATTACCTTGGTTTGGTTCCAGTTTGTACGTGGTACAGACTTCCAAGGAAGTGATGGTCATGGAGAGGAGATCATATTTGCCATGAAAATGTTTTTGTTATTCAGGATTCAGGGAAATCATTCACAGCCTGGTTCCCATGCTTTCTCTAGGGGCAATATGGAGCTTAGAAACAATTATCTAGGTCATGAAGTGAGGATGGAAGTTAGGTGCTATCCACAGGACTGAGTCAAAATGCTCCGTGTGTGTGTGTGTGTGTGTGTGTCTGTGTGTGTGTTTTGAGACAGAGTCTCACACTGTCGCCCAGGCTGGAGTGCAGTGGTGTGATCTCTGCTCACTGCAACCTCCGCCTCCTGGGTTCAAGTGATTCTCCTGCCTCAGCCTCCTGAGTAGCTGGGATTACAGGTGCCCACCACCATGCCTGGCTAATTTTTTGTATTTTTAGTAGAGACGGGGTTTCACTATGTTGGTCAGGCTGGTCTTGAACTCCTGACCTTGTGACCCGCCTGCCTTGGCCTCCCAAAGGTCTGGGATTACAGGTGTGAGCCACAGTGCCCAGCCCTCTTTGTGTTTTAAAGTGCCTGTGGCTTCTTCTTGCCTTAGTTTTGCTCTCCAATTTATTGTGTTTCTTGTTCCCCCATCCTTTGCATTATACTAACTTTGCATCCAAGAGAGGAGGCCTGAATTGGTGTAATAAGACTGATACCTTTCTCCTAAAGATGATGCCCTGGTGAGCTTTGCAGCATGTCAAACAGGGTCTGAAATTAATCCTCATTGAAAGGGAGTTTGGGAGGTGGAGGGTCATCTTCCTATGGATTCCAGAAGGAAAAAAGATGAACAAAGGCATAGAAAACCTATTAAACAAAATAATAGCTAAAAACTTCTTAAGTCTTGCAAGAGATATAGACATCCAGGTACATGAAGGTCAAACATTTCCAAATAGATTCAACCCAAAACGGTCAATTCCAAGGCTCATTATATTCAAACTATCAAATTCAAAGACAAAGAGGGAATCTAAAAACAGCAAGAGAAAAGCATAAAGTCACATATAAGAGCATTCCCGCAAATGAACAGGGACATTACAATTGATACCATAGAAATAGAAGAGGTCATTAAAGACTATTATGAGCAACTATATGCCAATAAATTGGAAAGCCTAATGGAAATGGAAAAATTTCTGGACACATACAACCACCAAGATTGAACCAAGAAGTAGTAGAAAATCTGGACAGACCAATTACGAGCTACAAGATTGAATCACTAATAAAAAGTGTCCCATCAAAGAAAAGCCAAGGACCTGATGGCTTTATTGCTGAATTATGCCAGATATTTAAGAAAGAACTAATACCAATTCTTCTCAAACTTTTCCAGAAAATTGAAGTGGAAGAAATTCTTTTATACTCATTCTATGATGACGTTACCCTCATACCAAAACATGAAAAGGGCACAACAAAAAAAGAAAACCATAGGCCAGTATTTCTGATGAACAGAGATGCAAAATTCCTCAAAATAAATACTAGCAAACAGAATTCAACAATACATTAAAAATATCATTCACCATAATCAATTGGGATTTATTGCAGGGATGGTTTGACATATGCAAACCAATCAACATGATACATAACACTTACAAAATGATGGACAAAAAGAAAATGACAGTCTCAATAGACACAGAAAAAGCATTTGATAAAATTTAATATCCTTTCATGATAAAAATCTTCAACAAACTAGATATGAAAGAAGCATACATGAATGCAATAAAGACTACATATAACAAACCCACAGGTAGCATTATGCTGAATAGGGAAAAGCTGAAGTATTTTCCTCTAGAAACTAGAACAAGACAAGGATGCCCACTCTCACCACTTTAATTCAACCCAGTATTGGATGATGTTCTAGGCAGAACAATTAGGTAAGAGAAATAATTAAAAGACATCCAAATTGGAAAGAAGGAAATCAAATTTTATGTGTTTGCAGATGACATGATCTTATAAATAGAAAAACCTAAAGAATTTACAAAAAAACTCTTAGAACTGATAAATTCAGTAAAGTTGTAGGATGCAAAATTAGCAGACAAAAATCAGCAGCATTTCCATATGCCAACAATGAACTACTTGAAAAAGAAATAAAAAAGCAATCCTATTTCAATAGCTACAAAATAAATAAAATACATAGTAATAAATTTAAATGAGGAGATAAAAGATCTCTACAAGGCAAACTGTAAAACATTAATGAAAGAAATTGAAGAGATCACAAAAATGAAAAGATATCCCATGTTCACAGTTTGAAAAAATTAATACCGTTAAAATGACCATACTACCAAAAATGATCTACAGATTCAATAAAGTTCCTATTAAAATATGAGCTATTCTTCACAGAAGTAGAAAAAATAATCCTAAAATTCATATGGAACCAAAGGAGACTTCAAATAACCAATGAAATCTGGAGCTAAAAGAATGCAGCTGGAAGCATGATACTACCTGACTTCAAAACATACTACAAAGCTGTAGTAACCAAAACAGCATGGTACTGGCATAAAACCAGAGACATAAACAGAACAGAACAGAGAACCCAAAAATAAATTCATGCATTCTCAGCCAACTGATTTTTGAAAAAGATGCCAAGAACACTCAATGGGGAGACAACAGTCTCTTCAACAAATGATGTTGGGAAAACTGGAGGTCCACATGCAGAAGATTGAAATTAGAAACTTATTTCATACCATACACTAAAATCAACTGAAAATGAGTTAAAGAGTAAATATAGGACCTGAAAAAACTACTAGAAGAAAACACGGGGAACAGTCCATGACATTGGTCTGGGCAATTATTTTTTGGATGTGACCCCAAAAGCAAGGGCAATCAAAGCAAAAATAGACAAATATGATTACTTCAAATTAAAAGCCTTCTGTATAACAAAGAACAAACATCAGAGTTAAAAGAACCTACAGAATGGGAGAAAATATTTGCAAACTCTACATCTGATAAAGGGTTACTATATAAGGAACTCAAATACTCCATAACCAGAAAACAATAGGCTGATTTAAAATGTGAAATGATCTGAACAGACATTTCTCAAAAGAAGACATACAGAGGCCAAGAGGTATATAAAAAAAATTCTATATCAGTAATCATTGAGAAAATGGAAATTAAAACTACTATCAGATACAACTTCACTCCTTTTAAAATGGCTACTATAAAAAAAGACAAAGGATAATAAGTGTTGTTGAGGATGTGGAGAAAATGAAAATATTCACGAACTACGCATCTGATAAAGGTCTAATATCCAGATTTTTTTTTTCTTTTGAGACGGAGTTTTGCTCTTTCCCCTAGGCTGGGGTGCAGTGATGCAATCTCAGCTCACTGCAACCTCCCACTTTCAGTTTCAAGTGATTCCCCTGCCTCAGTCTCTCAAGTAGCTGGGATTACAGGCGCCTGCCACCATGCCAGGCTAATTTTTGTATATTTAGTAGAGACAGGGTTTCACCATGTTGGTCAGGCTGGTCTCTAACTCCTGACCTTGTGATCCACAGGCCTCGGCCTCCCAAAGTGCTGGGATTACAGGCTTGAGCCACCATGCCTGGCCCTTATTTTTTATTTTTTATTGGAGACTGCATTCCACTATGTTGGTCAGGCCGGTCTCGAACTCCTGATCTCAGGTGATCCGCCCACCCCAGCCTCCCAAAGTGCTGGAATTATAGGCATGAGCCACCATGACCGGCCTTATATCCAGAATTTATAAGGAACTTAAATTAACAGGCAAAAAACAACCCCATTAAAAAGTGGGCAAAGGACATGAGCAAACACTTTTCAAAATAAGTGTGGCCAAAAAAACATATGAAAAAATGCTCAATATCACTAATCATCAGATAAATGCAAATAAGAACCATGAGATACCATCTTACACCAGTCAGAACGACTATCATGAAAAAGAAAAAAAAATATGATGTCGGGAAGGCTGCAGAGAAAAGGGAATGCTTACACACTGTTGGTGGGAATGTAAATTAGTTCAGCCATTGTGAAAAGCAGTCTGGATGTTTTTCAAAGAACTTAGAACTACTTTTTGACCCAGAACTACTTTTGACACAGTCTCATTACTGGGTATATATCAAAAAGAAAATAAATAATTCCACTGAAAAGACACATGCATTCATATATTCATTGCAACACTATTCACAATAGCAAAGACATGAAATCAGCCTAGATGCCTATCAACAGTGGACCGGATAATGAAACTGTGGTATACATACATCATGGAATACCACACAGCTATAAAAAAGAATAAAATCATGTCCTTTGCAGCAACATGGATAGAACTGGAGGCCATTATCCTAAGAGAATTAATGTAGCAAAAGAAAACCAAATACTGCATGTTCTCACTGGTAAATAGGAGTAAACATTGGATACTCATGGACATAAAGATGGCAGCAATAGACACTGGGGAGGGGGAAAGTGTTGAAAAACTACTGGGTACCATGCTCACTACCTGGGAAGTGGGTATAATAGTACCGTAAACCTCAGCATCATACAATATACCCATGTAACAACCTGCACAGGTACACCCTAAATCTAAAATAAAAGTTGAAATTATTTTTAAAAATTCCCAACAAAGGGAAATCATAACTATTTGAGGTTATGGATATCCCGATTATCCTGACTTGACCATTATATATTGTATGCATGAGTCAAGATATCACATATACTCCATAAATATGTACAACTATTATGTATCAATAACTTTTTTTTTTTTTTCTGAGCAATAAGGCTGTTTATTTCACCTGGGCGCAGGTGGGCTGAGTCAGAAAAGAGAGTCAGTGAAGGGAGATAGGGGTGGGGCTGTTTTATAGGATTTGGGTAGGTAGTGGAAAATTACAGTCAAAGGGGGTTGTTCTCTGGCAGGCAGGGGCGGGGGTCACAAGGTGCTCATTGGGGGAGCTTCTGAGCCAGGAGAAGGAATTTCACAATGTAATGTCATCAGTTAAGGCAGGAACAGGCCATTTTCACTTCTTTTGTGATTCTTCAGTTACTTCAGGCCATCTGGATGTATACGTGCAGGCCTGGGCTCAGAGGCCTGACATTCCTGTCTTCTTATATTAATAAGAAAAATAAAGATCAGATAGTTGTAGATATGCGGCATTATTTCTGAGGGCTCTGTTCTGTTCCATTGATCTATATCTCTGTTTTGGTACCAGTACCATGCTGTTTTGGTTACTGTAGCCTTGTAGTATAATTTGAAGTCAGGTAGTGTGATGCCTCCAGCTTTGTTCTTTTGGCTTAGGATTGACTTGGCGATGCGGGCTCTTTTTTGGTTCCATATGAACTTTAAAGTAGTTTTTTCCAATTCTGTGAAGAAAGTCATTGGTAGCTTGATGGGGATGGCATTGAATCTGTAAATTACCTTGGGCAGTATGGCCATTTTCACGATATTGATTCTTCCTACCCATGAGCATGGAATGTTCTTCCATTTGTTTGTGTCCTCTTTTATTTCATTGAGCAGTGGTTTGTAGTTCTCCTTGAAGAGGTCCTTCACATCCCTTGTAAGTTGGATTCCTAGGTATTTTCTTCTCTTTGAAGCAATTGTGAATGGGAGTTCACTCATGATTTGGCTCTCTGTTTGTCTGTTGTTGGTGTATAAGAATGCTTGTGATTTTTGTACATTGATTTTGTATCCTGAGACTTTGCTGAAGTTGCTTATCAGCTTAAGGAGATTTTGGGCTGAGACGATGGGGTTTTCTAGATAAACAATCATGTCGTCTGCAAACAGGGACAATTTGACTTCCTCTTTTCCTAATTGAATACCCTTTATTTCCTTCTCCTGCCTGATTGCCCTGGCCAGAACGTCCAACACTATGTTGAATAGGAGCAGTGAGAGAGGGCATCCCTGTCTTGTGCCAGTTTTCAAAGACAAACCTGAGAAAAACAAGCAATGGGGAAAGGATTCCCTATTTAATAAATGGTGCTGGGAAAACTGGCTAGCCATATGTAGAAAGCTGAAACTGGATCCCTTCCTTACACCTTATACAAAAATCAATTCAAGATGGATTAAAGATTTAAATGTTAGACCTAAAACCATAAAAACCCTAGAAGAAAACCTAGGCATTACCATTCAGGACATAGGCATGGGCAAGGACTTCATGTCCAAAACATCAAAAGCAATGGCAACAAAAGCCAAAATTGACAAATGGGATCTAATTAAACTAAAGAGCTTCTGCACGGCAAAAGAAACTACCATCAGAGTGAACAGGCAATCTACAACATGGGAGAAAATTTTCGCAACCTACTCATCTGACAAAGGGCTAATATCCACAATCTACAATGAACTCAAACAAATTTACAAGAAAAAAACAAACAACCCCATCAAAAAGTGGGCGAAGGACATGAACAGACACTTCTCAAAAGAAGACATTTATGCAGCCAAAAAACACATGAAGAAATGCTCATCATCACTGGCCATCAGAGAAATGCAAATCAAAACCACTATGAGATATCATCTCACACCAGTTAGAATGGCAATCATTAAAAAGTCAGGAAACAACAGGTGCTGGAGAGGATGTGGAGAAATAGGAACACTTTTACACTGTTGGTGGGACTGTAAACTAGTTCAACCATTGTGGAAGTCAGTGTGGCGATTCCTCAGGGATCTAGAACTAGAAATACCATTTGACCCAGCCATCCCATTACTGGGTATATACCCAAAGGACTATAAATCATGCTGCTATAAAGACACATGCACACGTATGTTTATTGAGGCACTATTCACAATAGCAAAGACTTGGAACCAACCCAAATGTCCAACAATGATAGACTGGATTAAGAAAATGTGGCACATATACACCATGGACTACTATGCAGCCATAAAAAATGATGAGTTCATGTCCTTTGTAGGGACATGGATGAAATTGGAAACCATCATTCTCAGTAAACTATCGCAAGAACAAAAAACCAAACACCGCATATTCTCACTCATAGGTGGGAATTGAACAATGAGATCACATGGACACAGGAAGGGGAATATCACACTCTGGGGACTGTGGTGGGGTCGGGGGAGGGGGGAGGGATAGCATTGGGAGATATACCTAATGCTAGATGACACGTTAGTGGGTGCAGCGCACCAGCATGGCACATGTATACATATGTAACTAACCTGCACAATGTGCACATGTACCCTAAAACTTAGAGTATAATAAAAAAAAAACATTAAAAATAAAAAATAAAAAATAAAAAATTAAAAAAAAAAAAAGAAAAATAAAATGAAATAGTGGTAAAGTGTTGGGGTGGTGAAAATTTTGGAGGGTGGTATGGAGAGATAATGGTGATGTTTCTCAGGGCTGCTTCGAGCGGGATTAGGGGCGATGTGGGAACCTAGAGTGGGAGAGATTAAGCTGAAGGAAGATTTTGTGGTAAGGGGTGATATTGTGGGGTTGTTAGAAGAAACATTTGTCATATAGAATGATTGGTGATGGCCTGGATATGGTTTTGGATGAATTGAGAAACTAAATGGAAGACACAAGGTCCGAATAAGAGAAGGAGAAAAACAGGTATTAAAGGACTAAGAATTGGGAGGACCCAGGACATCCAATTAGAGAGTGCCCAAGGGGGTTCAGCTTGGTTGGTGAGTTTTTGGGCTCTATACTTGACAGAGTCCTCCTTTTTAAGTTGGAGGCTGAGCTTGGTGAGGTGTGTTTTTAAAAGACCATTAGTCCATTCTACCTTTCCTGAAGATTGAGGACAGTAAAGTGTATGAAGATTCCACTGAATACCAAAAGCCTGAGAAACTGTTTGGGTGATTTGACTAATAAAGGCTGGTCCATTATTGGACTGTATAGAGGTGGGAAGGCCAAACCAAGGAATTATGTCTGACAGAAGGGGAGAAATGACTGTGGTGGCCTTCTCAGACCCTGTGGGAAAGGCCTCTACCCATCCAGTGAAACTGTCTCCCTAGACCAAGAGGTATTTTAGTTTCCTGACTCAAGGCATGTGAGTAAAGTCAATTTGCCAGACCTGGGCAGGGGCAAATTCTCAAGCTTAATGTGTAGGGAAGGGAGCGGGGCCTGACAAGTTCCTGAGGAGTAGTAGAATAGCAGATGGAACATTGAGAAGTGATATTTTGAGGATAGATTTCCATGATGGAAAGGAAATAAGAGGTTCTAAGAGGCGGGCTAGCGGCTTGTAACCTACAAGGAAGAGGTTATGAAATGACAACAGAATAGAATGGGCCTGTGAGGCTGGAAGGAGATATTTTCCTTGGTCCAAGAACCATTTGCCTTGTGTGGGAAGACTGATAGGTGGAAGTTTCAGTGGGGGAGTAGGTGGGAGTGTCTGATGAGAAGGAGAAAAACTGCCATGAGGGATAGAAGTTGGAATGCTAGCTGCTTTTTTAGCTACCTTATCAGTATAAGTGCTGCCCTGAGCAATGGGATCTGATGCCTTTTGATGGCCCTTGCAGTGAATGACTCCAGTTTCCTTTGGAAGTAAAGCGACCTTTAGAAGAGTTTTTATTAAAGAGGCATTAATGATAGAGGACCCTTGTGTAGCGAGGAAACCTCTTTCTGCCCATATAACAGTATGGTGGTGCAGGATATGGAAGGCATATTTAGAGTCAGTATAAATATTGATGAGTAGTCCTTTTGCAAGAGTGAGGGCTCGAGTTAGGGCAATGAGTTCAACTTGCTGAGAGGTAGTGGAGGGGGGCAGAGTGGTAGCCTCAATGATAGGTGTGGAAGATACTATAGCATAGCCTGCCTTTGCTGGTGAATGGTGATTAGGCCTGGTGGAACTGCCATCAATAAACCAAGTATGATCAGGGTGAGGAACAGGAAAGAAGGAAATATGGGGAAATCGAGTGAATGCCAGGTGGATTAGAGAGATACAGATAAAAAAGAAAATGGGATACATATGCACTATGGAATACTACACAGCAATAAAAAAGAATGAAATCATGTCCTTTGCAGCAACATGGGTGCAACTGGAGGCCACTATCCTAGAGTGAATTAACATGGGAATGGAAAAATAAGTACCACATGTTCTCATTTATAAGTGGGAGTTAAACACAAGCTCACTCTATATAATAAGCTCCTAAAATGTGCAAATAATCAAATAGAAACAGGGACAAAGGAGATTATGTAAATGTTGTTTTAGAGAAGTGAAAATCCAAATGGTCATAAATACATGACAGGATATTCAACCTCACTAATAATCATAGAAATGCAAACTAAAATAGCAATCAGATTTTAATCCTCATTCATCATATTCACAAAAATGAAAAAGCAATACTTTAGAATTAGCACTTATGCTAGGATAGGTACTCTGACATTCTTGGTTGAAATAGATAACATACTAGGTTTTTGAAAGCCTCTGGCAATATTTATTAAAATGAAAATGCATATACCTTCCAATCCAGGAGTCTCACTCCTAGTTTTTTTTTTTTTTTTAAGAGACACGGTCTCACTCTCACTCAGGCTAGAGTGCAGTGGTGGTCATAGCTCACTGCAGCCTTGAACTCCTGGGTTCAATTGATCCTCCAGCCTCCCAGATTCAGCCTGCCAAGTAGCTAGGACTGCAGGAATGTATCACCATGCCCAGCTAATTTTTTAATTTTTTGCAGAGACAAGGTCTCTCTATGTTGCCAAGGCTTGTGTCAAACTCCTGGCCTCAAAGAATCCTCTCACTTCAGACTCCCAAAATGCTAGGATTACAGATGTGAACCACTGTGCCCAGCTGGAAATCTTTTTAATAGAAACAAAGACACCAGGAATAAGGAAAGGTAGGTAGACAGATGGTAGACTGATAGATAAATGATAGATAGATATATACACAGATAGAATAGAGACAAAGAAGTTTATTGTAATACTTTTCATGGTTATAAAACCTGAAAGAGTCAACTTTAATAGAAATATCATTGAAAAGGTTTTGATAAATTTACACCAGGCAAAATTATACTGCTCTAAAAAAGAGTGGGTTAAATTTATATGCACGGAGTTGAATACATTTTTACAACGTATTGTTAAAAAGAAAAATTTAACAAATAGAAGCAAGTTTAATATGATCCTTAAAAAATGGAAACTCTCCCAACACACTTACAAGCATAAATATATGCATATATGCTGATAAATGACTGTAGAAGCATAGACAAGTGAATGTAAAGAGGTCCACATGGAAAATGTTACTTGGTTGTGGAGGACAATGGAGTTAAAAAACATAAGACAGGTGAATGGAGGAGAGGAAGACAGGAGAAGAACTAAAAAATAGCTTTAGAAAATTATAAAGCTATTAATAAGGAAAAAATAGGATGCATTACATGATTTTCATCATATAATGTATATTTTGTATGTAAGTATATATAAAAATATTCACTTGTGTGTATATTTACATACACAGAGCACAGATTCACATATACATAGAGAAAATAATAAAGACATGATCACCAAAATGTTAAAATTGATTGTCTAAGAAAGGTGGAGTTTTGGTGATTTTTTTTAATTATTATTATACTTTAAGTTTTAGGGTACATGTGCACAATGTGCAGGTTTGTTACATATGTATACATGTGCCATGTTGGTGTGCTGCACCCATTAACTCATCATTTAGCATTAGGTATATCTCCTAATGCTATCCCTCCCCCCTCCCCCCACCCCACAACAGTCCCCACAGTGTGATGTTCCCCTTCCTGTGTCCATGTGATCTCATTGTTCAATTCCCACCTATGAGTGAGAACATGTGGTGTTTGGTTTTTTTGTCCTTGCGATAGTTTGCTGAGAATGATGGTTTCCAGTTTCATCCATGTCCCTACAAAGGACATGAACTCATCCTTTTTTATGGCTGCATAGTATTCCATGGTGTATATGTGCCACATTTTCTTAATCCAGTCTATCATTGTTGGACATTTGGGTTGGTTCCAAGTCTTTGCTATTGTGAATAGTGCCACAATAAACATACGTGTGTATGTGTCTTTATAGCAGCATGATTTATAATCCTTTGGGTATATACCCAGTAATGGGATGGCTGGGTCAAATGGTATTTCTAGTTCTAGATCCCTGAGGAATCACCACACTGACTTCCACAATGGTTGAACAAGTTTACAGTCCCACCAACAGTGTAAAAGTGTTCCTATTTCTCTACATCCTCTCCAGCACCTGTTGTTTCCTGACTTTTTAATGATCGCCATTCTAACTGGTGTGAGATGGTATCTCACTGTGGTTTTGATTTGCATTTCTCTGATGGCCAGTGATGACGAGCATTTTTTCATGTGTTTGTTGACTGCATAAATGTCTTCTTTTGAGAAGTGTCTGTTCATATCCTTCACCCACTTTTTGATGGAGTTGTTTTTTTTCTTGTAAATTTGTTTGAGTTGATTGTAGATTCTGCATATTAGCCCTTTATCAGATGAGTAGGTTGCAAAAATTTTGTCCCATTTTATAGGTTACCTGTTCACTCTGATGGTAGTTTCTTTTGCCGTGCAGAAGCTCTTTAGTTTAATTAGATCCCATTTGTCAATTCTGGCTTTTGTTGCCATTGCTTTTGGTGTTTTAGACATGAAGTCCTTGCCCAAGCCTATGTCCTGAATGGTATTGCCTAGGTTTTCTTCTAGGGTTTTTATGGTTTTAGGTCTAACATGCAAGTCTTTAATCCATCTTGAATTAATTTTTGTATAAGGTGTAAGGAAGGGATCCAGTTTCAGCTTTCTACTTATGGCTAGCCAGTTTTCCCAGCACCATTTATTAAATAGGGAATCCTTTCCCCATTGCTTGTTTTTGTCAGGTTTGTCAAAGATCAGATGGTTGCAGATATGCGGCATTATTTCTGAGGGCTCTGTTCTGTTCCATTGATCTATATCTCTGTTTTGGTACCAGTACCATGCTGTTTTGGTTACTGTAGCCTTGTAGTATAGTTTGAAGTCAGGTAGCATGATGCCTCCAGCTTTGTTCTTTTGGCTTAGGGTTGACTTGGCAATGCAGCCTCTTTTTTGGTTCCATATGAACTTTAAAGTAGTTTTTTCCAATTCTGTGAAGAAAGTCATTGGTAGCTTGATGGGGATGGCCTTGAATCTATAAATTACCATGGGCAGTATGGCCATTTTCACGATATTGATTCTTCCTACCCATGAGCATGGAATGTTCTTCCATTTGTTTGTATCCTCTTTTATTTCATTGAGCAGTTGTTTGTAGTTCTCCTTGAAGAGGTGCTTCACATCCCTTGTAAGTTGGATTCCTAGGTATTTTATTCTCTTTGAAGCAATTGTGAATGGGAGTTCACTCATGATTTGGCTCTCTGTTTGTCTGTTATTGGTGTATAAGAATGCTTGTGATTTTTGTACATTGATTTTGTATCCTGAGACTTTGCTGAAGTTGCTTATCAGCTTAAGGAGATTTTGGGCTGAGACGATGGGGTTTTCTAGATATACAATCATGCCATCTGCAAACAGGGACAATTTGACTTCCTCTTTTCCTAATTGAATACCCTTTATTTCCTTCTCCTGCCTAATTGCCCTGGCCAGAACTTCCAACACTATGTTGAATAGGAGTGGTGAGAGAGGGCATCCCTGTCTTGTGCCAGTTTTCAAAGGGAATGCTTCCAGTTTTTGCCCATTCAGTATGATATTGGCTGTGGGTTTGTCATAGATAGCTCTTATTATTTTGAGATATGTCCCATCAATACCAAATTTATTGAGAGTTTTTAGCATGAAGGTTGTTGAATTTTGTCAAAGGCCTTTTCTGCATCTATTGAGATAATCATGTGGTTTTTGTCTTTGGTTCTGTTTATATGCTGGATTACATTTATTGATTTGTGTATGTTGAACCAGCCTTGCATCCCAGGGATGAAGCCCACTTGATCATGGTGGATAAGCTTTTTGACGTGCTGCTGGATTCGGTTTGCCAGTATTTTATTGAGGATTTTTGCATCAATGTTCATCAAGGATATTGGTCTAAAATTCTCTTTTTTGGTTGTGTTTCTGCCAGGCTTTGGTATCAAGATGATGCTGGCCTCATAAAATGAGTTAGGGAGGATTCCCTCTTTTTCTATTGATTGGAATAGTTTCAGAAGGAATGGTACCAGCTCTTCCTTGTACCTCTGGTAGAATTTGGCTGTGAATCCATCTGGTCCTGGACTTTTTTTGGTTGGTAAGCTATTGATTATTGCCACAATTTCAGAGTCTGTTATTGGTCTATTCAGAGATTCAACTTCTTCCTGGTTTAGTCTTGGGAGGGTGTATGTGTTGAGGAATTTATCCATTTCTTCCAGATTTTCTAGCTTATTTGTGTAGAGGTGTTTATAGTATTCTCTGATGGTAGTTTGTATTTCTGTGGGATCGGTGGTGATATCCCCTTTATCATTTTTTATTGCGTCTATTTGATTCTTCTCCCTTTTCTTCTTTATTAGTCTTGCTAGCAGTCTATCGATTTTGTTGATCCTTTCAAAAAACCAGCTCCTGGATTCATTAATTTTTTGAAGGGTTTTTTGTGTCTCTATTTCCTTCAGTTCTGCTCTGATTTTAGTTATTTCTTGCCTTCTGCTAGCTTTTGAATGTGTTTGCTCTTGCTTTTCTAGTTCTTTTAATTGTGACGTTAGGGTGTCAATTTTGGATCTTTCCTGCTTTCTCTTGTGGGCATTTAGTGCTATAAATTTCCCTCTACACACTGCTTTGAATGTGTCCCAGAGATTCTGGTATGTTGTGTCTTTGTTCTCGTTGGTTTCAAAGAACATCTTTATTTCTGCCTTCATTTCGTTATGTACCCAGTAGTCATTCAGGAGCAGGTTTTTCAATTTCCATGTAGTTGAGCAGTTTTGAGTGAGTTTCTTAGTCCTGAGTTCTAGTTTGATTGCACTGTGGTCTGAGAGACAGTTTGTTATAATTTCTGTTCTTTTACATTTGCTGAGGAGAGCTTTACTTCCAACTATGTGGTCAATTTTGGAATAGGTGTGGTGTGGTGCTGAAAAAAATGTATATTCTGTTGATTTGGGGTGGAGAGTTCTGTAGTTGTCTATTAGGTCTGCTTGGTGCAGAGCTGAGTTCAATTCCTGGATATCCTTGTTAACTTTCTGTCTTGTTGATCTGTCTAATGTTGACAGTGGGGTGTTAAAGTCTCCCATTATTATTGTGTGGGGGTCTAAGTCTCTTTGTAGGTCACTAAGGACTTGCTTTATGAATCTGGGTGCTCCTGTATTGGGTGCGTATATATTTAGGATAGTTAGCTCTTCTTGTTGAATTGATCCCTTTACCATGATGTCATGGCCTTCTTTGTCTCTTTTGATCTTTGTTGGTTTAAAGTCTGTTTTATCAGAGACTAGGATTGCAACCCCTGCCTTTTTTTGTTTTCCATTTGCTTGGTAGATCTTCCTCTACGAAGGAGCCTATGTGTGTCTTTGCATGTGAGATGGGTTTCCTGAATACAGCACACTGATGGGTCTTGACTCTTTATCCAATTTGCCAGTCTGTGTCTTTTAATTGGAGCATTTAGCCCACTTATGTTTAAAGTTAATATTGTTATGTGTGTATTTGGTCCTGTCATTATGATGTTAGCTGGTTATTTTGCTCGTTAGTTGATGCAGTTTCTTCCTAGCCTTGACGGTCTTTACATTTTGGCATGTTTTTGCAGTGGCTGGTACCAGTTGTTCCTTTCCATGTTTAGTGCTTCCTTCAGGAGCTCTTTTAGGGCAGGCCTGGTGTTGACAAAATCTCTCAGCATTTGCTTGTCTGTAAAGTATTTTATTTCTCCTTCACTTATGAAGCTTAGTTTGACTGGATATGAAATTCTGGGTTGAAAATTCTTTTCTTTAAGAATGCTGAATATTGGCCCCCACTCTCTTCTGGCTTGTAGAGTTTCTGCTGAGAGATCCACTGTTGGTCTGATGGGCTTCCCGTTGTGGGTAACCCGACCTTTCTCTCTGGCTGTCCTTAACATTTTTTCCTTCATTTCAACTTTGGTGAATCTGACAATTATGTGTCTTGGAGTTGCTCTTCTCGAGGAGTATCTTTGTGGCGTTCTCTGTATTTCCTGAATTTGAATGTTGGCCTGCCTTGCTACATTGGGGAAGTTCTCCTGGATAATATCCTGCAGAGTGTTTTCCAGCTTGGTTCCATTCTCCATGTCACTTTCAGGTACACCAATCAGACATAGATTTGGTCTTTTCACATAGTCCCATATTTCTTGGAGGCTTTGTTCATTTCTTTTTATTCTTTTTTCTCTAAACTTCCCTTCTCGCTTCACTTCATTCATTTCATCTTCCATCACTGATACCCTTTCTTCCAGTTGATCGCATCAGCTCCTGAGGCTTCTGCATTCTTCACGTAGTTCTTGAGCCTTGGCTTTCAGCTCCACCAGCTCCTTTAAGGACTTCTCTGCATTGGTTATTCTAGTTATCCATTCCTCTAATTTTTTTCACAGTTTTAAACTTCTTTGCCATTGGTTTGAATTTCCTCCTGTAGCTCCGAATAGTTTGATCTTCTGAAGCCTTCTTATCTCAGCTCATCAAAGTCATTCTCCGTCCAGCTTTGTTCCGTTGTTGGTGAGGAGCTGCATTCCTTTGGAGGAGGAGAGGCACTCTGCTTTTTAGAGTTTCCAGTTTTTCTGCTCTGTTTTTTCCCCATCTTTGTGGTTTTATCTACTTTTGGTCTTTGACGATGGTGACATACAGAAGGGTTTTTGGTGTGGATGTCCTTTCTGTTTGTTAGTTTTCCTTCTAACAGATAGGACCCTCAGCTGCAGGTCTGTTGGAGTTTGCTAGAGGTCCACTCCAGACCCTGTTTGCCTGGGTATCAGCAGCGGTGGCTGTAGAACAGCGGATCTTGGTGAACCGCAAATGCTGCTGCGTGATCGTTCATCTGGAAGTTTTGTCTCAGAGGAGTACCCGGCCGTGTGAGGTGTCAGTCTGTCCCTACTGGGGGGTGCCTCCCAGTTAGGCTGCTCTGGGGTCAAGGACCCACTTGAGGAGGCAGTCTGCCCGTTCTCAGATCTCCAGCTGCGTGCTGGGAGAACCACTACTCTCTTCAAAGCTGTCAGACAGGGACATTTAAGTCTGCAGAGGTTACTGCTATCTTTTTGTTTGTCTGTGCCCTGCCCCCAGAGGTGGAGCCTACAGAGGCAGGCAGGCCTCCTTGAGCTGTGGTGGGCTCCACCCAGTTCGAGCTTCCCGGCTGCTTTGTTTACCTAATCAAGCCTGGGCAATGGCAGATGCCCCTCCCCCAGCCTCACTGCCACCTTGCAATTTGATCTCAGACTGCTGTGCTAGCAATCAGCGAGACTCCGTGGGCGTAGGCCCCTCCAAGCCAGGTGCGGGATATAATCTCCTGGTGTGCCATTTTTTAAGCCTGTTGGAAAAGCACAGTATTAGGGTGGGAGTGACCCGATTTTCCAGGTGCCATCTGTCACCCCTTTCTTTGACTAGGAAAGGGAACTCCCTGACCCCTTGTGCTCTTGAGTGAGGGAATGCCTCGCCCTGCTTTGGCTCGTGCATGGTGCGCTGCACCCACTGTCCTGCAACCACTCTCTGGCACTCCCTAGTGAGATGAACCCGGTACCTCAGATGGAAATGCAGAAATCACCCGTCTTCTGTGTCGCTCACACTGGGAGCTGTAGACTGGAGCTGTTCCTATTCGGCCATCTTGGCTCCATCCCCATTTTGGTGATTTTAAACTTTTTTCTCACAATGTTAACATTTTCACAATAAATATATAAATCATTTTCATATAAAATCAGATGGATTCTATAACGATTTTTTAAGTCATGCTTTTAGATGAAAATTCTGTTTTTTTGAAATTAGTATGGTTGTATCTCTTTACTTCCCGCCAACATTTGCTTCATATTTTTTTCTGCCTCTTTGTCTTTGACTCAGTTATCAATAGTAAGATTAAAAGACATGCTCTTTCTCAGTAGTTTCAAATGATGCAGGAGACAGAAGTAATACCAGTCAGGATGCAGTAGAGATGTTTCTCTTTAACCACTCCTTTCTCTAGTGAATAATAGAGCTACACAGTGAAGTGTTTTTCCTTTATTGTGTTAATATTTAAAGAAACAAAGAGTAAAGTGCCTAGAATTCTCATCCAAAAAGGTAGTTTCAAGCACTCTCACTTTGTCATTTTTATTAGGTTAGACATTCATAGAACCTGCATATGCATGTGAATTGGATTCAGCCCATTGACAATTGTTGCAGAATCTAGTGAACAGATTAGATTGCAACAACAGATAGCACCTGAGCATAAGCAATCCTACCTTTTCTGTGAGGTTGTGGTGGAGAGAGGGGGTGGAGGATTACAGGTTTAGACTATCAAGCTTCAAGATTTTGCAGAACATAAGGTATGGCAGGGTTTTCTTTGTTTGTTTGTTTGTTTGTTTTGTTTTGTTTTACTTCAGGATCCCTATATTTGTCTTTCTTTGCAACTTAGTTGCAAAGCAAGGTGGTAAATATTTTAAGATAAAACCTTACTCTTCAAAACATTATAATTATAGTCTCATGACACCAAGAAGATAGCAGCACAGAAGATCCCCAGCCTTCCTTCCTGCTCAGAAATACCAATTTAACAACTATTCATGGACAAAATGCCTTTATAAAACATTTGGGATCCAAGTAAAAGGTTCCAGCTCCTTGGTGTTGGGGTGATCAGACCCAACACCAGGCTGTGGGGGCTACGAAGTCTGGTGGAGTCAAAGGAATGAGAAAAGACAAGTTGAGAAATTGGCACCAGGGGACCACTGCTAGTATGGAGGCTGCGAAGGCCCCAAGCTCTGGAGGCCCAAGCTATTTATTGGTGATCAAACAAAGAAACAGGTGGTGAGGATGTGGGGGTTGAAAGGAAGTGGTGTATCAAGTGAATGAGCTATAGCTGTGATGGTTTAGCATTTTCTTTGAAGCATATGGCTACTTGAGATAATGGGAGTGCTAGAAGCAAGGAGCCAGCAAGTCTAGATACATTCCCAAGGCCACCAGGGGTTTTAGACTCTGCACTGTGGACTTGTTCCAAGCCCTGCCTTGGCTTCTCTCCCAACACTCAGCTTTTCTCCTAACACTTGGGGGACTTAAGACTGCAAAAAGCCTCATTGAGAAGGAAATCCTATTCCCTTATTAACAGACTTGTCCATCCAGGGCCCCAATAGAAGGCTAGTCAACAGAACTCAAACAGCTCCACCTCCTGCAAACTAGCAGTGACCATGCACACTAGCAGACCTGTTGGTGATCCTCTCCATCCACAAACTCCAAGGCAACCTGCCCACCTGCAGACCCCTACTGCAGCACCCACCACCCACCCACCACTACAACAATTAGCCAAATATACCTGCAGATACTGACAGCAGGCAGACCCCACCTGCAGACAATGGCAATAGGCCTGCTCAAATGTGTACCCCAGCAGCAGGTCCTCCATGTGCGGACACCTGCAGCAAGCACACACATGCAGCAAACCTACCCACAGATTTCAGCAATAGGCCCACCTGTGGTCACCAACAGCGGGTTGTCTGCTGACCCTATCAGCCAACCTACCCAGAATCTCTGATCTGGCTGCTTGTACAAATGCAGACTCACCAATGCAAGCATACAAGGATCATAAAGAATCAGGCAAACATGACACCATGAAATAAATCTAATAAAGCTCCAGTAACCAAACCAAAAGAAATGAACCAAACCAAACCACAATCTGCTCAACAGATAATTTCAGATAATCATCTTAAAGAAGCTCAACAAGATACAGGAGAACACAGAAAGGCAATGAAAAAATATCAGGAAAACAATACATAAACAAAATTAGAAGTATAACAAAGAAATAAAAACTATATAAAAAAAAAAACCCACAAAAATCCTGGAACTGAAGACCTCAAGGACTGAATTGAAAACTGAATAGAGCACTTCAACAGGAGATTCAATCAAGTGGAAGAAAGAATTAGCAAATTCATAGACAGGTCATTTGAAATTATCCAATCAGAGGAACAAAAAGAAAAAAAGAATAAAAAAGAGTAAAGAAAGCCTATGGGACTTATGGGACACGATGAAGCAAACCTTTCTGTGTATTATGGGTGTCCCAGAAGTAGAAGAGAGAGAAAAGGGGGTAGAATTTAAAGTAATTTAAAAAATTTAAAGAAATAGTAACTTTAAACTTCCCAAATTTAGGGAAGGAAACAGATATCTAGATTCATGAAGCCCAAAATTTCCCAAATAGGACAAACCCAAAGAGGTCTATACTGAACACATTATAATTAGTTTGTCCAAAGTCAAATACAAAGAAAAAAAATTGAAAGCAGCAGGAGAAAACTGACTTGTCACATAAAAGAGAACCTCCAAAAGACTATCACGAGATTTCTCAGTGGAAACCCTGCAGACCAGGAGAGAATGAAATGATATATTCAAAGTACTGAAAGAAAAAAAAAAAAAACCCACCTGTCAATCAGGAATTCTGTACCCAGCAATGTGTCTTTTATTAGTGAAGGAGAGATAAAAACTATCCCAGACAAACATATACTGAGGGAGTTTGTCACCACTAGGTCCACCTTGCAAGAAGTGCTAAAGGAAGTTCTCGAGGTTGAAATAAAAAGAGGTTAAACAGAAACACAAATGCACACAAAAGTATAAGTTTCACTGGTAAAAGTAATTATAAAGACAAGTAGAGTTTTCCTTTCCCCAAGATGGCTGTCTAGAGACATTGGACACCAGTTCTCCTCAGAACAAAGAACCAAAATTGCAGTTGAATAATCATGGTCTGAGTGGAATACTGAGGAATGAGTGACATGACCTATTGGGGAACCCACAGGAAAAAGCTGTGGTGCTGAAAAAGAAGACAGCAAGAGTTTTGCAGAGATTGACTTCCAAGGAACATAGAGTCCCATGGAGAGGGTAGGAGGGGAAGTTGCTCCCCTCACTCCTGTGGCAGACTATGGACTGCTGAACTTGTTGGAGAAACCCTCTGCACCTGTGAGCCCAGGCATTGCTGTCAGTGGCAATTTGGGAACTTCTTTAGGGCAGAGCATTGGGTGGCCAGCTCATGCAGGCACACTCGCTCTCCCCCAAAACCTGAGTTGAAGTGGCAGGTGTCATACTGGTTATGCACCCATTGTGGGTCTGTTCTTCCCAAGGAATCCCAGCCCTTGTGTTTCTGCATCACTAGATCCTCCATGAACATTCCCCAGAACCCACTTAGACTGCAGCAACCACAGGGGACGGGTGGGACCCTGGGGAGCTATGGAATTCCTAGAAGTCTAGCTCTTAGGAGAAGGGAGAGTGTCTGTGCCAACGTACTCCTTTGGATAAAAGAAACCAGTTCATTTGCTCTCCTCTGCCTAAGAGCTCCCCACGTGTGAGAAGAGGCTGGCTGTGCCCCTCCCAGCAGAGACACAGGCATGGTTCTGGGGTCTGAAGGGGAGGAGTGTGGTTCTGCACCAGTAGGCAGGTGACACTGGTGCCTGGGAATAAACATGGAAAGGGAGTCTTCTCCTACCCCCTCACTCAATGCTCCAGATAGACCGTTGGCTGTCCCTACTGGGAGCTGGCACAAGTGCACCTGGGGATGGCTTTTGAGGGCTCCTGGGGGCAGCTGCACTCCCATTGATGGGGTGCCTGCTGGCCAAGCCTTGCACGAAGGGCAGAGTTTATCCTCCTCCCCATATGGAGCAGCAGCATTCCCATAGCAGAATGCAGATGAATATCAGAGCTGCTGAGGGAAGAGGTTCTATCCCAAGGCCATTTTGGTGGTAGCCACAGGACGGGTGTTTTCTGCAGACCTCCATCACACTGCAGCCTGGAGATGAAGGACAATGTCTATCTGAACTGAAGGTCACAAGCTCCGGGACAAGGGTGTTTTAGGAAAGTGGATTGCCTTCCTGCCTTCCCAGGATGTGGAGCTGGTATACTCCTTCCCACTCTGGTGGAGACATCAGTGCCTTTCACCATGAGCTCCCATTTCCACTCCCATCAAGGCAGTTGCTTCTGCTCATAATTGGGGTTTCCCAGGGTGAGCTTGGTCGTTTAGTGCCCCTCAGTTTTGTGTCCCCCTCCAAAGCTTTGTGTTCCCTTCAGGGAATCAGGCCATCCACAGACCAGCCAACTGCCTGTGACAACAGAGATCCCCTCCCAGAAAACAAAGACCAAGTACCCATCAGCTTATGCCACAGCCAGCTTTTATTGGGATGCAGATTGAATTGCACAACCAAATAAAAAACAGGCTGACAGAGGGTATAGTGCTGGGGAATGAGATAAACTTTCAGAGACTTCCACATTCCCAGCCCCTCAGAAGGTAGTATTCCTGCTCATATGCCCAATACATTGCTACTACAATCAGCATAATAAAGCCACCACACAAAAGCTATCTATACAGCATAATAAAGCCACCACACAAAAGCTATCTATGACCAAGGAACTCATACAGAGCTGTGACCCACGGAAGGCACCCAAAATTGAAGCCAAATGATCACACACAACATACAGTCACACCTTCAAAGGGGGAAAAAATCCCATTCAAATGAGAGTAAGTTCAAAAGTAAGAAGTAACGGGTTCTCTAGATGAGAAGAAATCAGCATAAGCACTCTGGAAGTACGAAAAACCAGTATTTTGACATGCCCAAAGGATCACACCAGCTCCCTAGCAATGGATCCTAACCAATATAAAAATTTTGAAATAACAAATAAAGAATTTAAGATATGAGTTGTAAGGAAGCTCAATGAGATACAAGAGAAAGTTGAAAACTAACATAAGGAAATCAGAAAAATAATTCAGGATATTAATGAAAAATTTACAAAAGAGATAGAGATTAAAAAACAAAAACCAAATAGAACTTCTAGAAATAAAAATTTATTGAAGGAACTATAAAATATAGTTGAAACTTTTAGCAAAAGACTAGACCAAGCAGAAGAAATAATTTCAGAGCCTGAAGGCCAGTCATTTGAATTAACCTAGTCAGACAGAAATACAGAAAAAATAAATTTTTAAAAATGAACAAAGACTTTGAAAAATATAGAATTACATAAAGTTACCAAATATACAATATATAGACATTCCTGAGGGAGAAGAAAAAAAATTAAAAGCTTGGAAAACCTATTTGAGGGAATAATTCAGGAAAACTTCCCTGGTCTTGCTAGAGAATTAGACATCCAGATAGGAGATGCTCAGAGAACACCTGGAAGATGCTTTACAAGAGAAACCTCATAAAGGCATATCGTCATCAGACTATCCAAAGTCAATGTGAAGGAAAACATCCTAAAAGCAGCAAGAGAGAAATGTCTAATCTATACAGGAAAACCCAACAGACTAACAATGGACTTCTTAGCAGAAACCTTACAAGCCAGAAGAGATTGGGGTCTTATGTTTAATCTACTTAAACAAAAATCCTGCCAGCCAAGAATTTTGTATCCTGCTAAACTAAGCTGCATAAATGAAGGAGAAATAAAGTTTTTCCCATACAACAAATGCAAAGGGAATTTGTCACCACAAGACCAGCACTACAAGAAATGCTTAAAGTTCTAAACATGGAAATGAATGGACAATACTCCTCATCATAAAAGCACATTAAAGTGAAAAACTCACAGATTATATAAAGCAATTACATAATTGAGACTAAAAAGCAACTGGGTAACAATTATCATGACAGGAACAAAACATCACATATCAATATTAACCTTGATAATAAATGGAGTAAATGTTCCACTTAAAAGATACAGATTGGTGCTGGGTATGATGGCTTACACTTGTAATCTCAGAACTTCGGTAGGCTGAGGCAGGAGAATTGCTTGAGACCAGGAGTTTGAGACCAGCGTGGGCAACAGAGTGAGACCCCATCTCTGTAAAAAATTAAAAAGAGAAATTAGCCAGGTGTGATCATGCTCACCTGTAAAGAGGCTGAGGCAGGACAATCACTTGAGCCCAGGAGTTTGAGGCTGCAGTGAGCTATAAATGCATTATGGCACTCTAGCCTGGGTGACAGAGTGAGACTGTCTCAAAAAAAAAAAAAATACATACAGACTAAAAGATTGGATAAAAGTAGCATCAGCTCAGGGGTCCTAACTAGTTACAAGAACAGTGCACAAGACAAACACCAGCTAAGATGGCAGGGAGAACAAGCCTGAACAAGGCAAGGCAGAGGTCTGCTAAGGGAAATCCATCCCACAAAAGACAAGCAAGGCAGGGGCTCTCTGAGGCCTAGAGCAGCATGCAAAAGAGCAACTCTTTCCAGGTGGCAGCTCCCTAGCTGCTGCCCCCACATGCTGCTGCCTCTGCAGCCACTCTACCTGCCCCACCCCTGCCCAGGTATTCCAAGCAGCTCTCAGCTCTTTCCCAATATCTGGGCAGTGCTGTTGAGACAAAGGAAGAGGAGAAGTGGACACAGCAGGTCTTGGCTCTTAAGATCTGCAGTTGTGAGTTCCTTTTGCAATCGCTGTAGGTCATTGTGCAACCTGCTGGTCTCTGGACTCCTGATTTCTAGACATCTATAAAATACAGACACTGATGATGCCACTTAATTCACAGAGCTGCAGTGAGAAAGGTGCAGATGAGTTCAAGGCCTGATAGTGTTCTGCAAACTATAGTGATGGATGTGCATAGTATTGTGAATATCAGTGGCAGGTTTCCAGAACGCAGGTGGGGATAAGAGTGAGTGAGTCAATAAAGAAGAAAATTGCCCCACTTCTTGAAGGGAGTTTTTGGGGCTGGGCAGCTCAGGGTACAGGGCAGGCATAAATAGTGAGTGCCTGCCAAGCAAAGGCTAGTTTGCTTGGAGCTCCTGGGGCCTAACAAAAAGAAACCTGTAAGTGTCTCTGTTCTTGCCTTCTTTTTATTTTCTCCACATCCTATAAATATCCCTCTGCCGACCTGGGCAATTCAACCTATTGGTGTGGAGGGTCTGTGTAGCTGTTCTGGTCTAGGAGGCATGGGCGCAGGAGGTGGGGAGCACAGGAGGTCTTATGGTGCTCTTCTGCCCCTTATTCAGTGGCCTCAGCCCAGGGGAGGATTTGCTTTCTGAGCTGGGGGTGCACAGGGTGGAAGAGTGGGTGTGACACTATCTAGACCTGGGATGCCACAGTGTGGAAGCTTCAGGTGGAAAAATGCAATGCTAATTTATCTCTAGGCTCTTTTCTGCACTGATTTCTTCAGAAAGGACAGTGGAAGAGAGACAAACCCAGGCACTCACAGGCTGGGGTTCTAAACCCATCCTGGTGCCAACAGCCTGTGGAAAAGCAGGGCAAGCCTGTTTTTCTCATAGCTTCAGGTCTTTACTTTAAAAAATATACTTACTGGAGTAGGTCTCTGATTTTCCAATCCATGTTCAGAGGAGATGGCCTTTTCAATGAAATTGTACTCTGAAAGCTTAGCATAAACTGGGCACTGCAGGGGTTGAGGGGGACCACAACTCTGCCCACTCCATCTGCTGCCCCAGCTAAGATGCCTCATCTGAATCCTGGGCCTGAAAACCCGGGTCTGCCCTCTCCAAGTGTCCTTCAAGCCACAGTGGCTGCTGGTGCCTTCTGTGCCATCTTGAGCCTGTAGACAGAATGCCTATTGCCTTTCATTCTTCCCCAGAATCAGACACAGGGCCTGAGGGGTGAGGGAGCTGCGGGGCACAGAACAATGCCCTTGCTCTGGCCTGGGTCTGGCCCTTGCTGCTCATGATTGAGCCTCTGCCAGAACAGGTGTAACAAGGTAGCCGCTGCTGGCAGTGAGCTCACCCAGGTGTTTCTAGAGACTACCAGGATACCCAAGGAAGTGGTGATTTCAAAATTGAAAGAGGCTAGTGAGAAATAGGGGTCATCCACAGCCCAGAATCACCAGCAGTCAAAGAAGAAGGCACTCCTCTGGGCAGGAAGCCCCCCACTTGCCACCACCCCAGTTGGCCTGGTGACCCCTTTCTTTGCACAAGTCCCTCTGGCTTTGTTCCTAGCCTCTGCGAATCTGATCAGCTCTTTTCACTCTCATAACTTTACGGTTTCTCATTGAGAGAAAAGATACCCAAAACAGTTAATGTCCCAGGTCCTGCTCTTATCCTGGTCTCAGTTCCTGACCATCTTAGATAGTAAATGGGTGCCCTGTTGGGTAGTTGCTCTTGCTTACCCACAACACTAGCTTTCTGCCTGACTGAGCCTACCTGGCATGTCCTCTTTCCATATAAGACTTCTTTTTTTTTCTGAGATGGAGTCTCACTCTCTTGCCCAGGCTGGAGTGCAGTGGCACGATCTCGGCTCACTGCACCCTCCACCTCCCGGGTTCAAGAGATTCTCCTGCCTCAGCCTCCCGAGTAGCTGGGATTACAGCACGCACCACCACATCTGGCTAATTTTTTATACTTTTAGTAGAGATGGGGTTTTGCCATGTTGGCCAGGCTGGTCTCGAACTCCTGACTTCAAGTGATCTGCCCGCCTCGGCCTCCCAAAGTGCTGGGGTTACAGGCATGAGCGACCGTGCCCAGACTCCACATACTTCTTTTCCAAACCCTCTCAGGTCTTAGAAGAACTCTAGGTGTCTCAGGATTTCTCCTACTGCTAGTTTAGTGTCTCTGAAAACTTTCACCTGGGTTCCCTCTGGGACTTTTCTCTAGAGACAGCACCTGCTCGAGGAATGGCAAATTGCCAGGCAAATGTGCACCACACTCCCAGCCTGCGCTCAGGAAGGACATTACTAAGCACTCAGGACTCTGGCTGCATTTTCAGACCAGCACTATCAGCACCAGTGCTAGTCCATGCAAGGCAGCAAGAGAGAAGAAACAGGCTTGCCTTGTCTGAGCTAAGCCAGTTGCCTCAGTGGTACAGACAGGGAGATGGTCTAGGGAGTGGGCGGGGGGTGTCCTGCCCAGAGGCACTCAATGAACCCTTCTTGATGTGACAGATGGCCCCAGTGAGGAATGCTACATCCTAGCCACTGTGCCAAACTTAGTGCCCAAGGGAAGGCACAAGAAGGGAAGACATGAGCACCTGGGAATGGGGGATGCTGCTGTCAACCTATGTCAGAGTTCCAGCTGGGTAACTCATGCTCTCCATCCAGACCTTGTGCCCTCCTTGTCCTTAAACTGCTTTTGGATTCCTGCTGCTCTAGGCCCCATAGCAGAGGACAGAAGGAGGGAATGGGGGCTTCTTGTCACCTCTAGAAGCTGAGCCAAGCCCTAAACCATGTCCATGAAGCATAAGCATGTCTTTTCTCTTTCTGTTCACCTCTCCAGGCCATGCTGCTCTTCCTCCTCTCTGCACTGGTCCTGCTCACACAGCCCCTGGGCTACCTGGAAGCAGAAATGAAGACCTACTCCCACAGAACAATGCCCAGTGCTTGCACCCTGGTCATGTGTAGCTCAGTGGAGAGTGGCCTGCCTGGTCGCGATGGACGGGATGGGAGAGAGGGCCCTCGGGGCGAGAAGGGGGACCCAGGTAGGGTGGGGCCCTGGGCTTATCCTGCTGGGGAGGAATGGTCATTGGAACTGTAACTAGCCCAGCAACTCTGGGTACTTTGTTATGGAAGTCTGGAGACGTGTTTCTTCCTCCCAAGAAGGCGAGTTCCACACTGCTCCACCAGCTGGCAAACAAGTGGCTGTGCTGAGCCCCCATGTGCCTCCTCCAGCACCCAACTGCCCTAGCTCCTCCTCTAGGATCCCCGGATCCTTCCTATCCCAAGAGCAAGCAAACAGTGGTAAATTACTGATATCTGGGGCCTTCTAGAGCCCTGTGCCAGCAGTTAGCAGTTGTTCATTCCAATTAAATGATGCCTGTGCAGGGCATTAAATATTTTAAATATTTAATTAAACACTACTGCATGAAGGGTGGGAAAAAAATGGGGCTCCATGGCTCCATTCTCAAGCCTAATCAAGAGGATTTGCTCTAATACATTACACGGGGAGAAAAGGCACTCACATTTCTTTGTCCACCCTTGTGCTTGGGCATTCACTGGAGTAGTTCATTTAATCCTCCCAAGAGTCTTACAGGGGACATATTAATCTCCTTCGACAGGTAAGAAAATGATGATGCAGAGAGGCTAAGTAGCAACCATTCTGGAGGTGGAAAGGACGAAGGCTCTGCATCAGACTGGCCTGGGCTCCATCTCCACACTGGGAGAGCCCCTCAGTGTCACTGAGTCTGTTTTTTTTATCTGGTAATGGGAATGATATCTACCACCCAGTGATGAATCATTGAGCCAAAGGCTTTATTTTTTCTTGAGTCTTTGGGATAAAGTTGCATTTTCTGCTGTACCTAATAGGTGAATTATCTTGAGCTTAGCAGAGGTACTGATGAGTAAGGGAATTGTCCCTGGAAATACTGCTCCCCGCTTGTAGGGAAAGATCTAGGTCTTACTGGCAAGAAAGGAGAATTCCATCAGCCAGCAGCATGAACTGAGGGACCTCTATGACATTGGGCAGGGCTTCAAAGGGATCAGATACAGTCTTTAACTTTCTGGAAAGACGAAGCAATATCCCCAGGCTTTGTGGGGTAAGGGGCAAGTAAGCATCTGCCTATCCCTTACAGACAGAAAGTGGCTCCCAACGTGAATGGGATGGGGCTTGGGGAGGGCTGTCCAGGGGGGATCCCAGAATGGGGGTGGGGTTCATCTTGGCAGCTCTTTCTCAGAGATTCCCAACTCAGTCTGGCCTCCAGTGGGGCCCCGGATTTGAATCTCAGGGATCTTTCCCACAATGGCCCTGGGAGCTTGCTGCCTGAAGCATGGTCAAGGCCTCCCTTCCCCACATATGTGCCTCAACCCATGCACATTCCAGGCCTGGCTTTGGGTCAGTACTTGGACACAGGACAGAACACGGTGGGGCTACAGGATGAGGCTCCACTCTGGCTTCTCAATCGCAGTCTCTCCAGTCACTCCACTGTTACAGGTCTGAGGGCTGGGTTCCCTCAGAATCCTCAGCATCCTCAGAATCTACCCAGAATAGGTCTCTGTGGGCCAAAGTCTGTGCTTGTGACAACCACCCCTGCAGAGTTGGAAGCATGTGGTTCCCAGAATCTGCTACGAGGAAAATTGGGGCTTGAAAGAAGAGATCTTTGAGCAGGGGTGGAGGGTGAAGCTTGAGTCACTCTGGTGACATCCCCGACGTATCATGGAGGGTAAATATGACCCAGATCCTGCCTTTGTGGGGAACAATTCCTTATTCCTCAGCACCTTCAGCATTCCTGCTCAGCAATATTCCGTGGGGGAGTCCCACCAGGGATGCTCGTCTCCCTTGGACAAATCACACACCTTACAGCAGCCCATGAGTCCCGGCAGGACCACCCTGTACCCCTGTACCCCTGCTGCTCCTCTGAATTTGGTGCTGCCACCCCTACTCAGCTCCAACCACATAGCTTCTTTCTGGCCCCCGGTCACGCTCAGCCTCCTCCCTCTTTAGGGGCTTGCCATTTGCTCTTCTCATAGCTGTCCCTGCAGCTCATACTTCACCTCCTTCAGGACTTTACTCCCGGATCACCTTCTCAGTGAGGCACTCCCCGACCACCCTACCAAAAACAGACCCTACCCCCAACACACCCTATGCTTTACTTTTCCCTGTGGCATTATATCTAACATATCATATGTTGTACATTTTTAATGTTTTATTATCTGTTTCTATGAGATAGAGTTGAAGCTCCCCAGAGAAGGGCTGTTTATCCCCAGTATTTAGGACAGTGCCTGGCATGTATTAGAGGCTCCAGAGATATTTATGGAGTGAGTGAATGGAAGCTGGAAGGGGTGGAGGAATTTTAGGAGTCAAAACAGGCAAAAGGCTGGGCCATAAAGCTCCACTTCAGGTGGCACTCGGGTGCAGGTCTAGGTCTCTGGGTACACTACGATACACAGTGAGTGTTTTGAAAGGCATGGGTGCAGCATTTGGGGAGGTGCCCCTCCTCCACCCTGGTGCTCTCATGGCCTCCATAGTTTGTGTACCAAGAACAAGTGGGCTCTAACACTCTCTTCTGGAGAGTGACATTTTTCTCTTGGTCCATCTTCCTGCTGCTGACTTGGCCTGGGTGAAGCCCAAGCAAGGCTCCACATGGGGTCAGGGCATCCTGCCTTGAGGAAAATGTGCTGTTGGGTGTCAGAGGTGGGGCCCATCCTATAACCCTCTGTGCTTCCATTTCATCCCTAATAAGGACTGTAACCAGTGGCTGGACCCAGGGCACGGAATTCCACTGGGCATGGAATTCAGATGTTTCCAGGTGGTGGTGCTGCTGGGATACGCCAGCACAGATTCTTCCACCCATCCAGCAAATTTACCCACAACCACATGCTCACCCCCCATGGAGGCCTGGCCTCCTCTGCCACGGGAGCATGGCTTCCAAGCCTGAAATGTCACCTCCTCTCTGCAAATCTCCCTCGATTCTCCTTGCTCTTAAAATCCCACTTTCTCTTTGAAGAAGAAAGCTCTGAGTGTGTGAGTGCTGGGGTGGGGACGCTCAGATGAGATGAGGGACACTTCATGCATTGTCCTTCCTCTCCCTTGTCTCACAGTGTATTATGAACCCCCTGCTGAGCAGGACCTGAGGCTAAGCTCAGATTTGCATCTTGCCTAGTGCTAGGTATAAAGTAGATGCTGCATAGATGGCTCTTAGTGAACAAATAAATGAGCAAATCGACCAATAACTGAATGAACAAGTTAGCACCACCTGTCTGGTGCCATTTCTGGTTGGCTTCCCTAATATATATATATGGAATGCAAGAAGTCCATGATCACAGGTAAGAGCTGACAAATTGCCTGCCATCAATACAGTGGCCTTGGGGTAGGGGAAGGAGCACCGCATAGAAGGTCAGGCAGGTCTTGGCTTTAATCCGCCTCCAACTCTGGAAGGCTTCTTCCTCATCTATAAAATGGGGATGTTGATACCCATTTCCTGGATCACCACTGGGCCTGGGTGTGTGACGGTGGAAGTCTCATGCTCTGCAGAATCCTAAAGGAATGCTAGGGGCTGATCCTGCAGGAGGCTGGCCCTTTCTGGGTCTAGGGCCAGGTCTTTGTCCATTTCTTCTGCTGCTACAGGTTTGCCAGGAGCTGCAGGGCAAGCAGGGATGCCTGGACAAGCTGGCCCAGTTGGGCCCAAAGGGGACAATGGCTCTGTTGGAGAACCTGGACCAAAGGGAGACACTGGGCCAAGTGGTGAGCAACTGGGTGTCGACTTCAGGTGTTTCCAGGTGGTGGTGCAGCTGCAAGGATATGCCAGTGGGCACGCACAGAGCCCATCCCAGGAAGAAGGTTGTCTGAAGGTGGCACTGGGTCATTTCAGGACAGATGGGACCTGCTGTTGGGAGGACAACAATGCTGCCTCCCTTACCTCTGTTATTACCCTCACCTTACTACACACTCCTCCTGCCAAGAGGATTCATTGTTACTGACCGGGCTGGTGCTTTTGCTCAGGACCTCCAGGACCTCCCGGTGTGCCTGGTCCAGCTGGAAGAGAAGGTCCCCTGGGGAAGCAGGGGAACATAGGACCTCAGGGCAAGCCAGGCCCAAAAGGAGAAGCTGGGCCCAAAGGTAGGTGGCTGGTCTGTGGCCAGTCTGAGAAGGGAAAGGAGGAAGGACAAGGGTCCATGATATGACCTGAGGCGTGCTCAGAGTGCCAGGGAGAGCCCAGACCCTTGATGCTGCAAAGGCTTGCCATGCACCCTCCCAATCCCCACAACTGCAATATTTTCCTCTCACCCTCCACAGAGGAGCCCCAGAAAGCAAGGAGAGTCTCCCCACTTCTCTCTCTGACCCTAAAGTTGCGGGCAAAAAGCTCCATTGCTAACAAAACCACACCTGCTGAACGCGCTCTTAGCTGTGTTTGTTCCTGTGTGTTCCTTCTTCAGGAGAAGTAGGTGCCCCAGGCATGCAGGGCTCGGCAGGGGCAAGAGGCCTCGCAGGCCCTAAGGGAGAGCGAGGTGTCCCTGGTGAGCGTGGAGTCCCTGGAAACACAGGGGCAGCAGGTGAGCAGTGGAAAGAGCTGGGCTGGGCTGGGTCCAGTTCTCCTGTGCCTGCTTGGAGCTGTCAATGCCTACACCCCCTCCACCACCCACAAAGGCAGAGGTGGTATCGCTGGAACATGGAGAGAATCTGTATCCAAGAAGGGTGCATGAGGGGGCTCTGGGGACTGTTCCTATCTAGGGAGAGTGAGGCGCAAGCAATGGAGAAGTCTGTATACAGGGAAGGTTAGTTGTTGGGTGGCGGGGCAGTTTTCCACAGCGGGGTTGATTGCTGGGTGACAGGGACAGTCAGTGTACAGGGAGCTGCATGGCTGGGTACTGGGGACCATCTGTCTATTTCTGGGCAATAAGGATAGTTAGTCCATGTATGGGAAGGTAAAAATGCTAAAAACAAAAAAAATAAAATGAGTACATAGCTCACCCAGTTCTTCTTTTACCCCAGGGTCTGCTGGAGCCATGGGTCCCCAGGGAAGTCCAGGTGCCAGGGGACCCCCGGGATTGAAGGGGGACAAAGGCATTCCTGGAGACAAAGGAGCAAAGGGAGAAAGTGGGCTTCCAGGTAAGGTAGCAGCTCCTGGCCCAGGGAAGCCCCGCTGGGGCATGGGTGGGCAGAGAGGAAGCCCTCCTCATCCCAGAGGAGGGGCTCTGGGATGTGTGCCCCATTAATGGCAGCTGGTGGGTGGAACTCAGGAAAGGCGGACAGGCTGGAAGGCAGGAGCATGGGGCTCTGGTCTTAGCCACTTAGTACTCATGGGAAAGCAACCTGGGCAGCTTCTCCATCTGACTATCGGGAAAACTACAACTGCCTTCCCAATTCATAGGACAGTTTTGGGCATTAAAAACCCAGTGGATAGGAAACACATGAGTGTGTATTCCTGCCCAGCAACCCCCCCACCCACCCAATGGAGATGCCATTATATTCCAAGACTTTAAAGTCACAATGTCATCTGGTTCAGTGTCAGTGAAGTACAGGCAGCAATTTGTTCATAGCAGAACCATAAGACATCCTTACACAGCAGAGGCCAGCTGTGTCAGTAGATGTGGGCTTGCTGTGGGTCAGCCCCACAATATGTGCCCGAAACTAGACACCCTTCCTTTGGGGCCCAGACTCTGAGCTCTTCCTTCGCTCTCTGGACAAGTCTTTACTTGGCCATTTTCTCCCCTCCAGATGTTGCTTCTCTGAGGCAGCAGGTTGAGGCCTTACAGGGACAAGTACAGCACCTCCAGGCTGCTTTCTCTCAGTATAAGAAAGGTGAGTTCCTGGATCTGAACCTGGACCCAGCACTGGCATTGGGCCCCACACTAGATCTTGACCTTGGTTTGGCCTTTGGCTGGGGCTAGACCTTTGGCTGGACCTGAGGCAGAGCCTGCCCTGGGTCTAGGATGGGAATGAGCTGGGACCTGTGTAGGGCTGGACCTGGGACTGTGGCAGGGGGTAGGGCTCAGGCTGGGATGGGGCTAGAAGAGGGCAGCCACCTGCTCCTGGAGCTCAAAGTAGATCCAAGGGGGCAAAGGAGGAGGATGTGGCCCCTATCACCAGCTCACCAGGCTGGCAGTAGCATAGTTAAGGCCATCAGGCTCCTGAACTACCCACCAACCTCAATGCCACCTGTGCCCTGAGATAAATTGTTGTCCTGAGTCCAGTGCAATTCAGTAGAGCCTCTCTCCTGCCTACTTTGTGCTGGTCCCTCTGATAGATAAGGGGCTACCCAACACGGGCTGCATTTCTTAGCTCAGAGGGGCCAGGTATGGGAGTCCCCAGTGATGCTGCTGCACATCCCAAGGCAGCCCAGAAACCAGATACTGTTCTGGGAACTAGGACTGGGGTTCTGCTCTGGGGGTACAAGGCAGGTGGGGGCCTGACCTTGGTATGTGGCCATCAGATATCTCACCTTAGACGTGCTCTTGGTTCAAATAGGGGGCAGGCTGCTTCTGGGCTCCAGCCACTGCTGGGCTCTACCTGCAGCTCTGGAGGTATTTTAAAGCAGACTTTGCCCTAACCCTGGAATCCTGAAGAGTCAGAGGCCTCCAGGGACACACAGCTGAGGGCCTGGTGCCTTTTTGAATCTCCACATCAGTGCCCAACTGCCCCTACTCTCCTCCGCCTTTCCTGATATCAGCTTTGAGTTCAGGCGCATCTCATTGAGCCAAAAAATAAAAGATTAAAGTTTTCTGAAGTAGTAGAGCATAAAAGGGCTGACTGGGTGCAACACAGGTTTGGCTTCTAAGTACCCAAGCTCTGAAATGAGAGTTTCAAGCATTTGGTATATATCTCTTTCTGCATATGCTCTAATTCACTCAGAGGCACAGTGACAGAAACACACAGAGGAACATGTCCATATGCACCCACTGCATGTGTGTGCACTTAAACACCATCACTCACTCCACCTCCATCTACATACATGAGCTCATATGTTGTCTATATAGCACACACAAATATGCACACACATCCAGATGAACCTTACATACTCCCACGTACCTTTGGGTAGATGCACATATATTCAAAGGCATGCCCACATATGTGCATGGCACATAAACTTAGTAATGGTACATGAACTCTTATGCTGACTTTGTTCAGGGCTGCTCTGGGTGCCACCCTGAGCCCATGGAGAATCTTAAGGACGATGAGTCAGGGTGCAGCCTGCATTCTGAGCAGCCCAACAAAGCCAGGGGCACAGCCTTCTCTGGAGCTTCCAGTGTCCTTTGCGGAAGATTTCCATGCATGGGCCCAAGAGCCACAAAGACAGACTAAAAAGAGATACTTGACATGTCACACAGGCAATGCTTTTGTGAAGTGAGCCCTCATTTTAGAGATGAGGAAATGGAAACCCTGAAAAGGGAAGTGACTTTCCCTTGCCCACGCAACAGCTTTTGTGAAGTGAGCCCTCATTTTAGAGATGAGGAAATGGAAACCCTGAAAAGGGAAGTGACTTTCCCTTGCCCACGCAATGTGGATCTGAATGCCTGGTCTTCCAGTTCCCACCCAGGGCTGTCTCCAGCACTAACACCACTCCCCTGCGCCTCACTCACACATGCCCTTCAGATGCTCTCCTCCACTCCCTCAGCACCTCCCAGGCAGGCTGACTGGCTAGGACATCATCCATGTGCATACTAAGAGGCCGACATGAGGCCAGACCCAGAGCAGAGATTAGCATCTGACAGCTTTCAGATGTCCTCTCCTCTTCCTGTCTCTCCCCTTTCATCACCCCATCACACAGCACAGACCCTCTCCGACAACCCCACATCCCCTACTGTTGTACAGGGTGACAGTGGGCTAACTGCAGGTGTTTTCTGTACTCTCAGAAACTGGCCTGGTCTACACTGTGATCAACTTGGGAAAAATTGTTCACTTCTACCTAGTAATTGAGAAATCAATTCTAGTATATAGCATGTGCCAAAATAGAAAGAGCATGTCTGAGCTTTGGTGTCAGACTGAGTGAGGTTGAATTCCTAACTGCACGTTTGCTGCTTGTGTGACTTTGAGCCTCTTAGCTTCTCTAAACTCCAGTACTCTCATCTGTAAGTGGGGAATCATGGTGTCACCTCACAGGGTAGGTCATGGGACGGGGGCTGTTCTGGAACAATCTCTCTTGCATTCTCTCTGGCATCCTGATGCGGTGCCTGTTTGGGAGGTCTGAAAGGCTCAGGTTGGAGCACAGAGGTCTCACAGCCCCTGAGCTTTGGCCAGGTGATGCCACAACCCCAACCTGACTTTCTTCTTCTCCTAGTTGAGCTCTTCCCAAATGGCCAAAGTGTCGGGGAGAAGATTTTCAAGACAGCAGGCTTTGTAAAACCATTTACGGAGGCACAGCTGCTGTGCACACAGGCTGGTGGACAGTTGGCCTCTCCACGCTCTGCCGCTGAGAATGCCGCCTTGCAACAGCTGGTCGTAGCTAAGAACGAGGCTGCTTTCCTGAGCATGACTGATTCCAAGACAGAGGGCAAGTTCACCTACCCCACAGGAGAGTCCCTGGTCTATTCCAACTGGGCCCCAGGGGAGCCCAACGATGATGGCGGGTCAGAGGACTGTGTGGAGATCTTCACCAATGGCAAGTGGAATGACAGGGCTTGTGGAGAAAAGCGTCTTGTGGTCTGCGAGTTCTGAGCCAACTGGGGTGGGTGGGGCAGTGCTTGGCCCAGGAGTTTGGCCAGAAGTCAAGGCTTAGACCCTCATGCTGCCAATATCCTAATAAAAAGGTGACCATCTGTGCCGGGAAGGACTTCTCTCCAGAATGTGGCCAAAAGTTACAGCTGCTGCAGGACACCACAGAGTGAAATGTGAGGCTTCCTTCACACTAAAACTCCTTTCAGGGGAAGAAGGGGCCAGCCTACTTTCCCTATAAGGGATAAAAGTGGGTCTCCAATGACCTTCCTGTCCCTAAACCCAAAGACTCCTTTTCAGGCCCTTTTCTCAAACCATCAGCTGCATTTGACCCTGCAGATCTCTCCCTCCTCTTTCAAGCACTTCCTCCTCCCAGCTTCACAGATACCACTCTTGCCTGGTCTCTTTTTTTTGTTTGAGACTGGGTCTCACTCTGTCACCAATATCGGAGTGCAGTGGTGCGATCTGGGCTCACCGCAACCTCTGTCTCCCAAGTAGCTGAGACCACAGGCATGAGACATCACGCCCGGCTAATTTTTTGTATTTTTGGTAGAGATGATGTTTTGCCATGTTGCTCAGGCTGGTCTCGAACTCCTGGGCTCAAGTGATCTGCCTGCCTTGGCCTCCCAAAGTGCTGGGATTACAGGTGTAGACCACCGCCCCTGGCCCCTTATTAGTCTTTTTAACTTGTCCCTCTTTCTCTCCTTGACCATTTAATGGTGCAGTGCCAAAGTCTCAGCTCTCAGCTGTCTTCTCTTCTTACACTCACTCCAGAGATGAGCTCATCCTGTCCCCTCATTCAAATTCCTTCTGGAGGCTGGTGGCTCCCCTGCAGATGTATCCCTATTCAGCACCTCTTCCTGAACCCCGGATTCCTCTAGCCAGTTCTGGCTGGAGCCCAGGGATAAAAGGAGGCTCCCAGCCTCCATTGCTGCCTCTTATTTCAAGGTCTGAGCCCAGGAAGCTGCACAGCATGGCAGGGTGACCTGGCAGAGAATGTCTGCCTCCCCAGCCAGGCCACATGGCCCTGCACTCAGTAGGCCCTTCCTCACCCCTGCACTGCCCAGGATCTCTCTCCATCACTGCCAACATGACTGCCTCTTGACTCATGGGAGGAGTACCAGCTGCACAATCCTAAAGCTGTCTGAAATCTTAGGGAACTTTGGAACAAAGGGTCTCTGGCCAAGCTCCGATTTACCTCCAATCCTCTTCTTGCCTGGTGATTCCAGGAATGTTCTTTCCCCATTCAACCTTAGAGATAATCTAGTTAAATCCTCCTCGTCATTTTCCAAATATGAAAACCAAGGCACAGAGAGGGATGAACCTGTGCAGGGACAAAAGGGGGTGTCAGTGTTACAGCTGGGTCATTAGCAAGGTCATTTTGACCCTAAAGCCCATACATTTAGGCTGTAAATATATAGGCCAAAGATCATGCATATTTAGTTGATTTGACATATTATTGCACATAATGATTTAAATGACACCTGTGTTCAAAAGATGTCAGTGACACCTGGATGAACCATGGCCCCATAAAAGGGGCAAACAAGGCTGGGCGTGGTGGCTCATGCCTGTAATCCCAGAACTTTGGGAGGCCGAGGCGGGCGGATCATGCTGTCAGGTGAAACCCCTGTCAGGTGAAACACGGTGAAACCCCGTCTCTACTAAAAATACAAAAAATTAGCTGGGCGCGGTGGTGGACGCCTGTAGTCCCAGCTACTCGGGAGGCTGAGGCAGGAGAATGGTGTGAACCTGGGAGGCGGATCATGCTGTCAGGAGATAGAAACCATCCTAGTTAACACGGTGAAACCCCGTCTCTACTAAAAATACAAAAAATTAGCTGGGCGCGGTGGTGGGCGCCTGTAGTCCCAGCTACTCAGGAGGCTGAGGCAGGAGAATGGTGTGAACCTGGGAGGCGGAGCTTGCAGTGAGCTGAGATTGCGCCACTGCACTCTGGCCTGGGCGAAAGAGCGAGACTCCATCTCAAAAAAAAAAAAGGGGGGGGGCAAACAACCTCTTTCCTGATAGAAAATCAGCCACTCTCTCCTTAGTTTACACAAACCAGGGAGACTTCTCTTTCTGGATGGGACCCCCCAGTCCCATCCCTCTTCCCGACACTCCTACATTTCATATATAGGACAACATGTCTATAAAACAAAAGCCACACTTCAAGACAGCATGCAGCCCAGGTTCTCTGCTAAGATCATTCTCCAGTTACTGAAAAAAAAAAAACCCAAATTTGTGGCAGCTTCTGAAATATAAGTCAGTTACACAATAATGAGCAAACTACTCAGAGACCACACCGAAACACATTCATCGAGGGAGCTCAGAATGGCTTTTTTATTACAAGTAAGAGAAAACACTTGGATGTAGCATAAACCAAGAGAAGTGTTTTTTTCTCTGAATAAAGGGTTCCAAATGGGCTTAAAAAGGACTAGGGGGACTCAGGTAATGGCATGCTCTCTCCCTGGCTTCTGCTTCTCCCTGTGCATCTTTGCATCTTTCCCTCTTTTGCACACCAGCTTCCTCTGCTTCCTGGTCTCTTGACTACCCAAGCATTAAGAATCATGTGTCCTAAAGACGGCTGCACAGAAATCAGAAACTCTCCAATGGGATCAATTGGAAACTCCTGTGGAAATGAGTCTTTCTGTCTCAGATGCCCACCTCTGGTCCAATCAACTAAACTTGGGGAGTGGGTCCCGTGGTACAATATGGCCACTGGGATAGATGCAAGATCATGATGGTCTGGGAAGACCCCCTGAAAGTGACCACTACCTACCCCAATACTTAAGCCAAACCTACTTCTTGCTAAGGGAAAAGTCAGCGTAGTTGAAGTGTGTGGAGAGAAAAAAATCTCCTATGATGTTGAAGGCCTGGAATGTGGATACTTCAAACCCCAAGAAGAAGCTTCAGATCCATCAGTGCCATGGGCCACAGGGGTCTGGTTTGCTCTCCAGCACAGAGAACAAGCAGGGAGGGCCATTTGAGATCTGTAGGCACAGGCTGATTGGAATAGGGGACTGAAGCAGTTATTTCAGAAATTCAGGTCCTAACCAGTTCCTGAGCACAGAGGTCTCCCCTGCACTAACACACATGGGCCAAGGTCAACACAGATCTCAGTGTCTGCCCCACCTTAACTGTAGCAGTCAGGGTCCCTTGTTTAGTAGCCTGTGTGTCAAGTGATTTGCACTCTCAGGTGATGTTGTGACTCTCACCATGGACACCATGAGAGCAGGCTGGGACCCATCCATGTCTGAAGCGGGGACTTTCACAGCAGTTTCATAGAGAAACCCCTGTTCAGTTAAAAAGTACACTCTCAAGTCTCATCCTGGTTTTCAACCTTCTGTCACCAACCCAGTCCACATTCCATAATGAGCAGCTGATGTGGAGCCCTCTGACGTTTGCTTTTCTAGGATCCTGTCTATGTTCTGAATCCCCTTGATACACATCACTGAAACTTGAGTGGCGTAAGTTCAGGGCATTCTCAACCACTCTTCCTTTCCAGATGTTCACCTTAAAATTCAAGTTTAATGATGTGCTTGACATTTTCAAGTTACCTACCTAGAGCAAAGAAACTAGTTATCTATTAGAGAAATGCAGTCTTAATCTGTATGTCAAATATTTATCCAGGCATTGGATACAAAGATTGACATGGCTAGTCATGCCCTCGTGATCCTGCACTTCCCTAACATAACAAGATGAGTAAGCTGCAGGATTGTTCTGGCAATGGACAATAGCGGTGCTCAACAAGTGGATTTAGAATGAATGGACGGATGATAAGAGTTTTAACCATGAGAATAGAGAAGAGACCTCTCTTTGTGCAATTACCAAGCCACTCAGAGATCAAAGCAGTCTTCATTACTGTCCACTCTAATTGCCTGTGACTATTAGACCTCTCTATGGCTAACAGCAGGCCTGGCATCTTATGGTAGGTTTTACTGTTTCTCGCCAATCTTTCACTGAGAGGACTTTTGAAGGCAGGCATGAACCTGTGATGTGGGTCACTCCTGGGGAGAAGCAGAAAAGAGTGGGTATACATTTCTAAAATGCCCTCTCGTCTGCTGCCATGTCTTCTGTGATTATAGACAGATTGGTAGATATAAAGTTCTTGTACAAGGCCAGGTGCGGTGGCTCACGTCTATAATCCCAGCACTTTGGGAGGCCGAGGCGGCTGGATCACTTTGAGGTCAGGAGTTCAAGACCAGCCTGACCAACATGGGCAAAACCCTGTCTCTCCTAAAAATACAAAAATTAGTTGGGAGTGCTGGCACGTGCCTGTAATCCCAGCTACTTGGGAAGCTGAGAAGGGAGAATCACTTGAACCCGTGAGGTGGAGGTTGCAGTGGGCAGAGATTGCGCCACTGCACTCCAGCCTAGGCGACAGAGTGAGACCCTGTCTCAATAATAATAATAATAATAATAATAATAATAATAAAGTTGTTGTACAATCAAACATTCTGGAACCTGAGCAGATGCATGGAAAGCAACTGCCTGGATCTAGGCAATGGACTTGTACTCTGAGTGATATTTGGGGGTTGTTACTGCAGCACCCATCCTTCCTGGATACATTTGAATATTAACATGTTTGCCCTCTATTTACTTAAGAGTCTGTAGGCAATCTCAGACTACCTGGCTGAAACACCTTTGAGCCACAGAGAGGGACTTAGCAGCACCCTGCCTGAGCAGAATGGTCCTTATGTAAGTCCTGTTTGTAGGGTTGAATAAAGTGTTTTTAAGATGTCTCTAGGCCCTTTGATCTGAGGAAATTGCAGAGTGGCCTCATTGCCAGCCCTTGTACATATTTATTTTTTAATTCCCTTAATACTTCATTTGAAGCGTAAGTGCCTGGGGCCAGGCCAGGGCTGAAAGTTCTGATGACAACTTCAGGCCAAGCAAACGCATTCTGTGACCAGAGGGAAGGATCAGGGCAGGAAGGGGATGCTTGGCCCCCAGCTAGAGAGACGGCCTGAGAGAACAGAGAGAGGATGAGAGGGATGGGGATCCCGCAGAGAACCTAGACACTTACTGTACCCCTATACAATGTTCACAGGAAAGAAAAGAGGGAGTGGAGGAAGGTGTGAGGACTTCATGAAGTGATTCTAAAGCTCTTATGAAAGAATGACTCTCAAGGGTTAGGAAAATTGCTTAAAATAGGATAACTAGGATGAACTTGACCCATCTATGTTAGAGGGTTTTATAAAACTAGCATAATTGAAGTTGTATATTAATGACACAGAAATAGAACAATGAAGAAGAATAGAAAGGCTAAAAATGGGCTCAAGTATGTATATATACACGTATGTGTTCTATATGCATGATAAAGAGAGAATGCCAAAATCATAGGAAAACAATGACTTACCAATGAATCATTCTGGGTTAAATAAACATTTAGAGGAAGTGTAAAATCAGATTATTTTATTACATATACAAATTAAAATTAGAAGAAAATATAAGTAACAATTTATGTAGTCTTGGAAGGAAAAAGAGCTATCTAAGAATGTTATCAGACAGGGGAACCCAAAGTGATAATATTGATATATCTGACTACATAAGAAATACGTAAAACTTTTCTACTGAAAAGTAAAACACAATGTAAAAGAAAAGTGGTTATGTATTTGCAATGTACACAACAGATAAATCAATAAGAAAATAATGAATATCTAAATAGGAAAATGGCATAAGAATGAGAAGAGGAAATTCATAAAGGAAGAAATACTAATGGCCAATAGTACTGATACGTGAAAAATGCATAATCTTAGTAGTAATTTTTAAACCTTAATGAAACAGTAATATGTATCCCAAAATCTATGAGATAGAGTTACAGCTATACTCAGAGGAAATAAGTAACTTTGCTTTCATTACTAAAATTTTAAAAATAAAAAAACATGGACTGAAAATAGTTGAACTAAGTGTTCATCTTCTTAAAACAAATTTTTAAAACAACAAAAAAAGGACAAAACAAATAAATATAAAAGTGAAATTAATGAAATATAAAACAAATGACAATAATAGAAATAAGTTGGGCATGGTGGCTCATACCTGTTATCCCAGCACTTTGGGAGGCTGATTGGGGAGGATCACTTGAGGTCAGGAGTTAAAGACCAGCCTGGACAACATACGGAGATCCTGTCTCTATAATAAATAAATAAATATTAGCCAGGTGTGGTGGCGTGCACCTGAAGTCCCAGATACTTGTGAGGCTGAGGCAGGAGGATCACTTGAGCCCAGGAAGTCGAGGCTGCAGTGAGCCATGATTGTGACACCGCACTTCAGCATGGAAGACAGAGCAAGACCCTGTGTTGACAACGACAAAAAGCAATAATAGATATGACAAATTATCTCAGAAACTAGACTTTTTAAGAGTTGAATTAGACAAATACATGTTGATAAATCTGTATAAGAAAAAAAAAAGCCAACATATGTAGTAGCGATAAGAAAGGAGCAGAGATACAAAAAAGATAAAAAGAATTTTGAGATAACATATTCACTTCCTTTTAGGCATTGATCAGAATTGAAAGCAGCAAGAACTCAGGGAATTTGGCATCCCTTCCCATCCTTCCCTTGCTTTTGCTCTGTGGCTTGGGGTCAGATTTTACACTCCTTGCCCTGAAGCTCCAGGTGGTTTACATCTCCCTGGCTGAGGAGGAAAGCGGCACTGCTTTTTATCTGATGTGGAATTTAGCTCATAATCTTGGTGCATTAGGCAAGCACGACCATATAACAGTGAGTGTGATGTTAAACCATGTCTCATCACCTTCCCCTCCATCTCAGCCATGGTTGGGAGCTTCTACCTCTGGACTCCCCAGACCCTTTTCACATAGTGAATCCAAAATGTTCATGACCTTTTCTGATTCCTGCCCTTGGGGTGCTTGGGAACCAGATCCCATCAGTGTAGGAGAGATGACCACCCAGGAACTGCTTGCAGACAGCACAGGAAAGGGTCAGCACTGCTGGGCAAGGTGAGGTCTCCAGAGGATGCTCTCACTGGGGAAAAGGGTCTCACATGCAACTCGGCATATGGCTTTTGGTGGTACTTCTGTAATTGTCAAGGTCATAGATTCTCATGGGGATAGGAAGCTGGACACATCAGGAGCTCTGGGCAGGGCTGGAGGGCTGGACAATGAGTCTTTTTCCCCACACCATCTCACATCCCTTGGTAATGACTGTGGGGTTAAATGGCTTTCAGGATCTTTTCCAGGCTGTGTAGGAGATCGTTGATTAGTTGCATCTGGCACAGATATCGGGGAGGAGAGGGTAAGTATGTGTGCTAATGTTTGTCATCCTTGGCTTAAGAGGGCACTGCCCTGCAGGTCCATAGGGTACCCAACAAGGGGGTTGCCCCCAGCTTCATCATGCACCCAGTGAAGGCACCTTCAGGGACTTCTGCAAGAATCCTGTGCTTCCACCAGCTGACTTCCCAGGAAGCCCAAGAACAAGAAACAAGAACAGTGTAGAAGCTGGCGGAACAACAATGTCATTTCCATTTGAGATCCCCTAGGAGATCCCCACCATCCATCTGTGCACCGGACCCTCTGCTGGTGGCCTGATGGGTCCCAGGCAGAGTCCCTAAACTGTCCTGAGTTACAGGTTCCCAGCCTGAACCCCTTTGTCCTTTTGAAATGACGCGAGGTCATCACACGAAAATCACAAGCATATACTTAGTAGTGTTCTCCAAAAGAACCTGATTCAGAGAAAAGTCCAGATTCTTTCCCTGCTGATGCTGAGGAAAGAAAAAAGTGACTGCATTTGAGAGAGATACCCAAAAAGTCCGCAAAGGGAACCCAGAGAGAAGCCCACAAATCCAGCCCCGACAGGGCTCGGGCAAGAGCAGCAGCAAAGTCCTGTCTTGAGGGGATTCTGAAATTGCCTCGGCCACAGAGACCTGTGGAGGGGCAGGCAAGGAGAGTGTGGGGGTGGCCTGTGGGTCCTGCCCTAAAGAGATCACATTCTAGGCTTGGAAAGGAGACAGATGTATAGACAAGGAGCAGAGCATCCCGCCAGTCCCCGGGGCTTGCTGTGCACTGAGGGCTGTCGGGATCCAGCATGCTGAAGACCTGCGGTCACGCAGTAGGAGCGTGCGTCTGGCCCTGGCCCTGCAGGGTGGGGGCACAACCCCAGTGAGCAAAGCAACCAGGACAATCGTCGAGAGGAGGAAAGCGGGAGCATCCGAAGTTGCAGACAAGGTGCTCATGTGATCCCACCACTCACCTGGCTGGGCTTGAGTCTCTCTGGGTTTGCTGGCCTTGTCTTGGAGGCAACCAGCAGGGGGCAGCACGAGGCCACAGCACCAGCTGCACATGGCCACTGCTGCCGGGGCCAGGGATACTCAATTATCAGAGAAAGGAGGCTGTGTCCGTAACCATATTCCAAAATGAGTTTTGCTGTTTCTCTCTTGGATCCAGCTTAGAGCTGAGTTAAGCTCCAGAGAAGGGAATTGGGTCACACATTTTGGTGGAGGACTCAGATTCATTCATTCATTATTCATTCACTTATTCATTCAACAGTTATTGAGTGTGTATGTGGTTCCCAGCCCTTTTCAAGGCAGTGGGACTGCAGAAGTGAGTGATATGGTCTTGTACTAATAACAACAGCAGGGACTAATGTTTGCATGGCATTTATTGCAGGCCAGTGCTGTCCTAATTGCCTTGCTTATATCAGTTCATCTATTCCTTCAACAACCCTCTGAGGTGGACACTGTCATGATCCCAATTTTACCAAGACGGGAACTAACACACAGAGAGTGTATTATGTGACTTGCCCAGGTCACACAGGTGCAAACTGGTAGAACCAGGATTTGAATCCAGGCAGTCTGACTCCAGAATCCTTACTCTTTTTATTTTTATTTTTATTTTTATTATTTTATTTTATTTTTTTTTGAGACAGAGTCTCACTCCATTGCCCTGACTGGGGCACAATGGCACGATCTCTGCTCACTGCAACCTCTGCTTCCTGGGCTCAAATAATCCTCCTGCCTCAGCCTCCTGAGTAGGTGGGATTACAGTCATGCGCCAACATGCCCGCCTAATTTTTTGTATTTTTAGAGGTGGGGTTTGGCTGTGTTGCCCAGGCTGGTCTTGAACTCCTGAGCTCAGATGATCTGCCCCCTTCAGCCTCCCAAAGTGCTGGGGTTACAGGCGTGAGCCACTGACCCCAGCTAGATTCCTTATTCTTAATGACTTTGCAACACTGACATAACTTAAGCAGATAGCCAAGATGATATCAGATAACCATAATTCTTAGAAGAAAATAAAATGGAGTGTTGTAATGGTGACTGGGGTTGGAGCAACCTTAGCTTCAGTGGTCAGGTAGGGACTCGGGTGGTGGGGGGAATGGTGACATACAATCCAAGACCTGGCAGGGGAAGAGGATCATATTAGTGCTCAATCTCTGTGGACCCCCCGGTGTCCTAGAACACAGCTTAGGACCCCTTACAGAGGACCTTTTGTCCATGACCAAGCACCTCAACTCCTCACCCAGAGTCTCCGGGGTCAGCCCGAGCCAATGTTCTTCAGTGGGGAGTAGGCAGAGGTAAACCTGGAGACAGGCTGGGGAGGTAGGGGCTGAGCCCCCGCCAGTGGCAGGATGCTGAGAACATCAAGCACTGGGTTCTGGTTTCCATACTGGATTGCTGGTTTCCATACAAGCACTCAACACACACTCACACATGTACAACAATACACACAAACAGCCCCAAGCCCATGTGCACACAATTCCCCCCTCAAGGTCTCACGCATCCAGTGCCTCACGTGCTCTGAAGCTCCTCAGAGCTGTCTCAACCTCAGACCTCCTCCCTAAAGTCACAGGAAGCAGTGAAACCCTGGAAATAGGGAAGGTTTAGGTCTGCAGTTGGTTTTCACTAGCGGGGCGCTGGTCCGTTGAGGGAGATTATTTGGGGTCTGACACTATACAGTTAAGCAGCACTCCCTTCACCTCATGAGGGGCCTGTAAGGAATGGGAAAATGCTGGCTTCCAGGCTCCAGGGCTGCACTGTACGGTGAGAGGCAGGCAGAAAGCCACTGTGGTGTCTGCATTTCTTGGGGCAGTGGTTTCAAAACTGGCCAAACATCCGGTTCACCTGAGGAACCCATGAAGATGACAGATTTCTGAGGTTTTCACTCACTGGGTCCAGAATGAGGCCAAGAGCCTATGATTTTGTCAAGCATTCCAGTCAATTCTGCTGGTCACTACTCAGAAGAGAGGTACAAGGTGGCACAAGCATAAGCCAGGGCAGGGCAGGCTGGGCTGTGGGTTGGCAATGGCTAGCCTCACCCAAGGCATTTGCTTGGTTAATGAATGGCTGCTTGCCCCCAGCTTTTTTGAAACATACACCTGTGTTTGCTGGACAAACCACAGGTTCATAGTTGGGGACACTGTCTATTCCTCACACAGTGGCCACCAGGGTTGTAAGCACCCTTTCCCAGATGGCCCACTGCCCTGATCTCCTCCCCTCTTCCCAGCAGCCCATCAGCCACTCAGGGTTACCAGGACAACATCGTTTTATAAAATCTACTTCCCGGCATCTCCAGCCCAGGCCCTCTGATAGCAACCAATCCCTTTCCAGAATGGAAAAACCCTGAGCTTTGGCAGGCTCAAAAGCACAGACCAGTTACATAATGACAAGCAAACAGCCTTCCAGGTCAGAGGCTCTGCTGTGACACAGAGGGCAAGTCCAGGGACTGACTGTGACCCCTGGCACTGGTCCCCCTCTGACAGCCACAGAGAAGGGAGGCTGGCTGGCACCAGCAGGAAGAAGATTTGAAAGATATGAACACTGGGCCCTCAGCTGGTACCCCATTCCCCATCTTCTGGCTTGGACATGGATAAAGTGAAGCAGCAGAGCTGTAGGACTCTGAGAAAACAGTGTCCTGCAGGCACAAGGCCCTACAATTCCAGGATTCAGACCCAGGCAGGAGCCTGAGCCTCGAGTGTCACAGGCTTTGGTAGCTGTTTTCATTCAGACACAGGAGGCAAATTGTGATTATACTTGCTGTGTCTCTACTTCTGCAGACATAATTTAAATCCGAAGTTCCCACCTTGAGGCCAAGGTATATTTGTCATTCTAATTTACCCAGACTGTCTTTTGTAGAATTCAGAAGTAGCTGATATTTAGCCCACAATTACTTTGGACAGAATTGCCAGGAAACAAAAACTGAAAACAGGGCCGGGCACAGTAGCTCATACCTGTAATCTCACCACTTTGGGAGGCCTAGGTGGGGGGATCTCCTGGGCTCAGGAGTTCGAGACCAGCCTGGACAACATGGTGAAACCTTATCTCTACAAAATAACACACACACAAAAACTCAGATCCTGCCACTTTGCTCCTGAATTGGCTCCTACACTCTGGACTTGTGTGTGACAATTGATTCATTAAGTTTTAGAGGAAAGAAGTCTTTAGTGACCTATTTATAGATAGGGAAATGGAGGCCCAGGAAACCGACATGCCACTGAGTACATTAGTCAGGGAGCTAACCTGAAACCCCTGTCTCCTGCTCCCAAAATCTGAACTTCCCATCCACCAAGCCATTTCTCCTTCGGCCCTAACATAGTGCACAGAGACCGAGGCCTTCTTCTCCCCTGGGCATGGCCCAGAGCCAGAGCCCAGGCTGCACAGAGTTCTGAACACCAGCTTCCCTTCCAGGAATGCTCTGAGCATGGCCTTCAGGTTCTTACTCCATGCAAGAGGCAGCAAAGGAAGACTGCAGCTAGGAGATGTCTTTCAGCTCTGCGGTCCAAAAACCAACGTGAGAAATGAATGGCAGAGACATCTCCTCCATTCGAACAAACGGCAGGGCTCAAGAGGTTGCTCACAGTCATCCCCACTCCTGCAGTCTCAGGGGAATGAGCTGCCTGGGGCTCCTCAGGCCTGTCCGTGGAGTGTGTGGCTTCACTGGGTTCCCTGTGCAAGAGATGTCAATCATTGTCTGTTCCTTAATAAAGGAAGCTGCCTGTCCTCAGCCGTTCAGACAGAGAAAGAGGGAGAGAGAAGGGAAGGAGAGAAGTCGGGAAGGGAGGAAGGGAGGGAGAAAGGAAGGGAGGAAGGGAGGGAGAAAGGAAGAAAGGAAGGAAGGGAAGGAGGGAGGGAGGAAGGAAGAAAGGGAAGGAGGAAGGAAGGATGGGTAGGAGGGAGGGAGACTGTTTGGAGGGTCATCTTAAATCCAAAATTTTCCTCTTGTCCCAGGTCCTGGAAGGCCTGGATAAACTGAAGTTTCAATCTTTGGACTTTCATGAGAATCCTGTATCTTTTTTAAAAGCTGTTTTTCTTGGCATCTTTCTTGCAGAAAGAGAATCCTATATCTTCAGATTAACTCCACCTTCTCCCCAGCTAACACACACCAGGCTCTCACTGCTTGCAGATAAGAACTGAGAAATGAATACAGAGAGGCAATCTGTCTCAATTCCAGACTAAAGGAAGAACAGTGTGGCAGCAGATACATTTAGAGAGAGGAGCTCAAAAGAGATGGTTAGGTGCTGGATCAGGGAGAGAACAAAGCCCGACCCATCCAGAAGCACTGACCATGGCAATCTTCCTTACCATCAAATAGAAATAGGAGTCTTCATGCCCTGCCAGGTGAGCTGAGAGAAGAGAGAATTAGCAAGGAACCTCAAAGTGCCAGGGGGCAGGGAAAGGAGGCTTATGAACTGGGGAGAAGGAGTACAGGGCATTGGTGGCATAAAAAGCTCTTAGAGCAGGAACATGAGGCTGTAGTCATTGAGAGATAGGAGGAAAAGAGTCCCGTAGAAGGAACTAAGAGAAGCAGTCTGAAAGGGGGATGGAAGAATTGGAGCTTGCCCTGCAAGATTTTTTGCATTTCCCTGACCGAGGGGCAATCATTGCATGCTGGAAAACCATAACAACCAGTTATGTACTTCACCCCTATGTGAAGTACATAACTGCATGTTCTACAGTTTCATGGCTGAAGATATTGTCCTTTATGCACAGTGTGGAAAAGGAGGCATTCATCTCAGCACTGACCACGACAACCCTCCTTAGCATAACATAGGAAGGACGATGTAACCATCACCGGCCAGTTTTCTCATTTTCATCTAGGCTGTGAGAACATTCAGGTGTAACATTCATGCTTGGTGTAACATTCATGCTTGGTTCTGGTCATTCTTTTGTTCTGGGTCACCGTATATGTGTGTCTTTTCTCCCTCTAAAAAGTTTCTGGTCCTTCCTTTCTCTATTTGCCATACACTATGGTTCATATGTGCTTCTAAAGCTTAACCAGTGTCCTGTTCCCTCGGTAAGCAGTGTGGATTGTATTGGAAGCAGTTAATTATTTTGCTGTGCATCACGAAAATACTCCTCTCATTGACCCCAATTTTGGCACCTTTAGAAGGGGTTTTTGGAATTGAAAATTCAGTGATATGGCTGTCTATGTAGGCCAGAGGCCAAGGACACAGGTCCTGCCACCCTCACCCTGATGGTCCCAATGCCCTTGGCACGTCCCAGCCCTGCCCGGATAGTCCTACAGAAGAAGGACAACTGAGAGAAAGCATGCTTGATATTCACTCCTGGGATCCCACCATGATCCCACACTGTGTAATTTTTTGATGCATCCATTTGACAAATATTCATCAAGCACTTACCAACCATGTGGTGATTTTCCTGGTAGTTCAGATACAAAGAGAAGTAAAATAGAAAACCAAGATTAACTAAAGCTTTTCACAGAGTTAAAGTGGCCCTTAGCCTTTTTATGAAATATTTTCCCATCTCATTGTGTGAATGGCATACGGCAGGTCTGGAATCCATTCCCTTCCCTTAGTTTGCTGCACAGGCTCTATGTCATCTCAGAGCCACCCACCCTGAGATAGCTGAAAAACAGCCATGGTCATGAGCAGAACTGTGGGTCCCAATGGCATCAGAAGCCTGCTCCGAAAGTGGATGGCATTTGTTGGCCAGCTGGGCCCGCATAATTTAACCCGTAGGGTATGAAGCTCACCTTTGGGGTAATTTTCCGCTTGTCTGTACTGATAATGGGCCCACTGAACTATAATGGGAAGAGGGTGTTACAGGGAAAGGAGGGGCTGCTGGCCAGGTGGGGGACTGGAGTAGGGGTTGGGGCTGAGACTCATGAGACTCACGAGGCCTGCGGAGAAGGGTACACTCTGCATGACAATTTGCCTCCTCACACGCAGCTGACACACCTCAATATCGAGTCAGCATCCTAAAATGATGCAGGAGGAAAAGCTGTTCTTTGGCCTTAAGGTCACCCTAGTGACTAAAGGGTGGCCACAGCTACATGGGCAGGATGAGAGGATTCCTAGGACTAACAACTGTTGCCCACGTAGGATATTGCCAAGTGTTACAGTCAGGTAGTGAGAGGTTGTCTGGCGCAGCTCATGAACAACTAGAAACAATACCTGTGTCCTAGAGAGGTCTGGGCTCACCATGGAAGGAGTTTAGGCATTCAGTAGTGGCAACTCATGGAGAAAAGGAATAAGATCTCTCAGTGGCTGGGATCTACAGCCTACTCTGACCCAGGTGTGGCCCCACTGGTTCCTTCTGGTGGGCTTCAGTGTCTTCACCATGAAATGAGAGGGTCAGATGTGGCCCTTTCCAGGGTAGACTCCGACCCAGCGCTGTGCTCCTAGTGGGATGGTGGTGTCCTTTGCCATGTGCTGAACCAGAACCCTTGTGCCTGACAGCCAGCCTCTTCTTCTGTTCTCACCCCACAATCAAATATATCCCCTTCATTTTCCTCCCATCCACATGAAGGAAGGACTCAACACAGGGCAGAAGAAAACCAACATTGAATTCTCTTCCAAAGCAGCAGAGAGTTCAGCAGGGAGGCAAGGAGGGGGCTGAGGAACGTGCCTCTTCAGGCAGGAAACTCACAGATGGCAATGAAGGAGGAGGTGCAGGAGATGCCATTCCAGAGCCCGTTGTTCAGGAGAATAACGCAGTCCTCCCCTGAGCCGTGGTCATTTGGCTCATCCTTCTTCCAGTTGCTGTAGGTCAGCCTCCTGCCCGTCAAGTACATGAACTGGCCTTCAGTTGCCTCATCTGTGATGCCCAGGAAGGCAGTGTCTTTGGCCACATCCTGGATGGCCTTATTCTCCTCGGCATTCTTGGGGGCAGCCACTGTGGCCTGGAGCCCAGCACACAGAGCCTTCACTTTGGAGAAAGGCATCCGCTCACCATTGGTCACGAAAAGCTTCTTCCCAGACATTTTCCCCAAGGAGAAGGCTTACACTGAAACCACAAATGGTGAGTGAGGCTGGCTGGGTTTGGAGCCCAGCGCAGGACAGTAGGCAAGCAGTCTGAGTTCCCTGGGAAGCCAGACCTCTGAAAAATCACCCTATGCCCAGCAGTTCAGGCCAGAGCCTGGTCAGGAAGTAAGCCTCAGCTGCAGAGCCTGGGAAGGGGCATCCAGACTCCTGCAGACAGCCCAGACTCCCCTGGGTATCCCACCTTGAAAAAGCATCTGCTAAAACCTGCCCCAGCACAGGTACATATAGGGAGACGGTCTTGGGCCTCACTGCAGGCTTGGGCACCAGGATAAGGAAGAGGCAGGGACAGACATCAGAGCACAGTAGATGACAAGGAAGGAGCACAGACTTTGGAGACAACAGATCTCCATCCAACCCTTCCCCTGCCACTTCCCGGCTGTGTGACCTGAAATGAGTCACTAACACTTCCTGCACCTCGGTTTCCTCACCTGTCAATAAAGCAAGTTCAACAACCACAACTGAGGTTGCTGAGAGGATTGAATGAAACCATCTTATGGGAAAATGCCACCCAGCACAGGCCCTGGTGTAGGACGAGCGCTCATGAATTAGTTCCCCTCCCACCTCCTCCAAATCTAGAGTGCGCTGAAGAAAAGAGTGAGAGCCAAGAACACATTATGGGCAGAGAGAAAGCTCACGCTTCTTCGTGTGGTCCAGTTCTGATCTCAGGCTCTATAGCTTTCTCTCTAAGTTGGCCAGCTTAGCCTCAGCAACTGCAACGCAATAGGGAGAAGGTATTTATGGAGAAGACCTTAATTTGGAGAGCGGAGCATTTTGAAAAAAGCTTACTAAGAAGAATGCTTATTCCAGGAAAATAAGAATGCAGAAGAAATAAAAAGGGGAAAATGACTACATTCCTCCTTCCCAGCTATACCTCCACATCCCTTCACAACCTGGAACTTCAGTCCTGGACCCCCGTCTCCACATATGGCTTGCATATTGTCATATTGTAAGAATTCATAAGAAAATACTCAACTCATTACCCTCCTTTTTGAAAATTTTTCTTGTAATTCTTTCTCATTTCTCATTCCAGATACACTTTTAAATACCTTTATTGTTTTGACAGGCTGGTAGACAAATATGAATAAGTGGATTGTCATTATTGTTTTGTTCTTACTGAATTTTGCTCTATTTTACTCTGAACTAAGTTGGCTGTGATGTTCCCCATCAGCCAGGGGTCCTAAGAGGCAGAACATTTTCGTGCCACTCTTGTGACAATGGACGTAAACCCAACCCCCTAAAGGGCCTTATTTCTTCCCTGGCACCCCGGAGGTGCACACTGAACTGTTTCCACTGAAGAGAAGCCAGGGCCCATCTGCTAAGGGGCCTGATGAGGGAATGGCCCTACATGGCTTGAACGTCTGCACCTGGGCACCTATGGGAGTCTCCTCAGGCCCCAAGTAAAGTTGAGAGGGCCAGGCGCACTGGGCCTGGATGCAGAGTTGGGCATCTTCCCATGAGGCAGCAGGAGAAGAAGGAAAAGGGGACCTCCCAGCTGGTCCTTCAGCTCCCCAGGCCCGGGACCCCCAGGCCACACATGCTGACGTGTGCCCCTTACCTGAATTGTCCCCACGATCTCCTTTTTGGCCCCTAGGTCCTGGAATTCCAGAAGTCCCTGTGTTTCCTGGGGGCCCCATCTTCCCAGGAGGGCCCTGCAAACCTCTGAGCCCTTGACCTGTTGCAAGACAAAGGGAAGATGACCCAGTGGCTGTCACTCTTTTTTTTTTCCCCAAAAGCTCAATGCTCCATTCCTGTTCACCCCCGGCACAGCCAATGAGCCAGTGATCTGACCCAAAGAAGAAAGACTCTCCTGCAACCTAGTGGAGGGCCTGCACCAAGGCCAGCTCCCCAACCAGGCAGGACACCCCTCTGAAGGGACAACCACACACCCCCAGTTCCTGTGTGGAAATATGGGATCCCAGAGAGTCCACGAACAGCTTTGTTTTGGAGGCAATGGCATTTTACAGGGGTTGTTCTGAGTGTAGCATGGGTCCTGATGAAAGGGGAGCCTCCCCAAGTCTGTGCTTTAACCCTCGTGTGGCAGGCTCAAGCACAGATTTGCTTGAACACCTGCCGGAGGTGGAGATTTAGGAAGCCACAGAAACCTGTCCCAGACCTGGCTCTCCCTTTTCCCCCTTGGGTCTATCTCGCCCATCTCTGCCTGGGGTGCCATTGGTGACGGGGATGCCACAGGTAATCATGGAGCAGGTCTTCTGGGTATCTGCACAGGCTTTTGTTTTGGAGCAGGAAGCTGTCACCACAGACAGGAGAAGGACAGGGAATGATGGAAACAGGAACATGGTCCTTACCTTGAGGTGAAGAAAGTGAAGGAAGGGAATTTCATCCCATCTCATTTAAATAGCATTTGCTACCCACTGTGGTGTGCTGGACCCTGTGCTGGGGACAGTGGACACAGAGGGGACCATCACAACCCCTGGCTCTGAATGACTTTCAGGCTACTAGGGAGACTGGTGGGTAAAAAATGTGAGAGTTAGATCAGTGCTAAAACAAAGGCAGGTGCAAGATGAACGCGAGCCCATTCTCCCTGAGGTCCCAGAGCTCCTGTTAGCACAAGTCTTAGCAGTTAGGCACGTCCTACTTGACAGCCCACAGGGCTTGAGGATTATCCATGAGCCCTGGGTACAGTGGTCCAGACAAAGGTGAAGAGAACTCATTGCCTGTGTGAGCTTTGGCCCCTGGATTGCTCGGATTTCTTTCTAAAGTGCCAAAGGAGCCATGGTTTCCTTCTTCTTCCTTTCCTATGGAAGGAAAGAGCTGGACTTAGACTGGAGCAGGAGACCTGAGGTCCCACAAGTTCCATCTCTTGGCTGGACTTGGGCATGTAACTCAGTTCCCCGAGGGTCACTATACTGTCTTTGTTTCAAAGGTCCCAAGGCAAACTTTTTAATAATTGTGGTCCCACTCAATAGTCAAGTTCACTTACTTTATGGGTACATTTGTGGCATATTTTAAAATGTGAAGTTGAGTGCATTTCACTTGAAAACCAAAGGCATGTAATGACAACATGTTATAGAGGAAAAATTATTGATTTGTGTAAATAGGCAGATCTTGTTTGTATTCTAGCTCCATCACTTACTAGTTTTGTGATATGGGCAATTTATATCCTATCTGAGCCTGTGTTTCCTCTACAATATGAGATAATTTCTACTTTGAAGTACTGTTATGAGGGTTAAATATAAATTACTTTCTGGTTTATGATTTTGGTGTATACTATTTCCATGCGTGATAGTTATTTTTATGAATAAGATTTTAACAGTAAGCCATAGAAAAATACAATGTAAGACTGATTCTTAGAATCTATCAAAACAGGTAGTAAAAATGACTTAAAGAAACATCTAGCATGGCAGTGACTAACATTTTGAAAAGCTTAATTTTTCCATTGAGAACTACAGCCCAACACAGTGTCTGTGCTTCAGTGTTCCTCTTGTCAGGAAGGATAATATCTGTGATGCATGAACTAACTCTAATGAAAATTTTTATTCTTAAAACACAACATATTTCCCAGCGCAGTACATAAGGTCTTTGTGCTCACGTCAGCATTGGAGATTAATTTCTGGGAAAGAAGTAGAGAAACTGCTCATTTCTATAGACATCAAAACACCAAAGTAAAAGTGAAAATAAAGGTACACTGCAGACTTTTTTTTAAATGCCTAAACTGAAAAGTATACCTATCAGGAAACATCCAACTCATGAATTACTTTAAATATGTTTTTAAAACAGTGTGCTTGTTTTATAACCACAGATTCATGCTATTAACCTGATATTCCCCAGTGGTTGCTTTGTGGGGCTCAGTGCCATCCTTGGAGCAATAAAAAGCATTTCTTCTGCACCAGTAAAAAACTGACTACTTCTCACATAAACCTTGGAGGGCTTCCCTCAGTGGGCTTAGTGATCAGCAAATCATGTCAAATAACCCTTTTTGTTATTTTTGACATAATAATGTTTCTAGCAGACAGTACTCTAGAATTCCCAGATTCTTAGCTTTAAATTCAATATACTCTCTTGTATTAAAAGTCAAGCTATTTATTCACAGTAGTTCTTAGGTCCATGTTACATTTTACACATATATGTGGATGTAATAGCTTTTTCCTTAGAACTTTTTAAAAAATAGAATTCAGTAAAAGTCCTATATTTGTATTTTCTATGTGTCAAGAACAGATAACCATCATTAATGTGAGCCAAATATGAACTGAGGAGCTGAAATTAGGAGGAACTGAAAAACACCTGAAATAAATCTTCAAGTAATGAAGGGGAAAGTTTACTTTAGAATTAGTGTGTCAAAAATGGGAAAATTGGCTGGGTGCAGTGGCTCACGCCTGTAATCCCAGCTCTTTGGGAGGCTGAGGCATGCAGATCACCTGAGGTCAGGAGTTCAAGACCTGCCTGGCCAACATGGTGAAACCCTGTCTCTACTAAAAATACAAAAATTAGCCGGGCATGGTGGCACATGCCTGTGGTCCCAGCTACCCGGGAGGCTGAGGCAGGAGAATCACTTGAACCTGGGAGGCAGAGGTTGCAGTGAGCCAAGATCACGCCACTGCACTCCAACTTGGGCGACAGAGTGAGACTCCATAAAAATAAATAAATAAATAAATAATAAATAAAAATTTTTTTAAAGTCGTTGCTTTATTTTAAAAAAATTAATAGTTTCAAAATGTATACATGTAAAATCTAACTGGGAATACTTTGTATCTACTTGCAGCCCAAGATTAAGTTTATTCTCAATTACTAGGAGGTTTGCACAATAGAGTATATATTTAATCTGTATGACTAAAAGCCTCATTGTCAATGTGACTATGTCATCATTACCACATTTGTGAATCTCCTGATTATAACCTGCACAGATGGTCTATCTACAAGGCTCTGGGATAAGAAACTTGCTGTCTGTCTACAGAGGAAGCTGTTTCACTTCCAGATAGTTCTGAATATTTGAAAGTACTTGCTGATTTAGAGTCAAATTATATCTTGCTGTAACATCCACAATTTCTGAACTTACATTTGAGATAAACCATGATTAGACTAGACCATGCCTTCAAATGACAGACTCTCAAAATGTGATGCTTTTTTTTTTTTAAACTGCACGTCCAGGATACTCTACCTGGAGAAAAACATAGCTCTCATTAACCTTGTCCAGACATTAAACGTATAAGAGAAATTCATTATTTTCCTTGTAGCCAAATTACTCTGCTAAATTGTTTTTAGGCAGGATTAATAAACCTTTACTGTAAAGGGAAAGAGGCTAAGATTTTAGGTTTTGTGGGCCATATAATCTCTATACAACTATTCAGCTCTGCTGTTGCAGTGAGAAAGCATTTATAGACAATACACAAATGAATGAGTGTGTCCATGCTGCAATAAAACTTTATTTACAAAACCAGTCTATTGGCTGGATATGGCTTGCAGGCCATACTTTGCCAACCCTTGGTTTACAGCCTAGCTAGCTAAACACTGCTTGCTGTAGTAAAATCTTGCTTTTTAAAACATATGTCTCTCATCCTAGCATTGTCATTATGTGTGTGTGGTTTATTGTTAAATATGTAATATTTAAGGGTCTTTCCTATTTAGTTTTATTGACTAAAAGCTGTTTCATAATTATAATACACAGACATCCATATAGGTTTTTATTTTATCAACCTATTAGCTAATCCTCAGAGTTGTTTCACTTTTCATGTGTTTGACAGATGAACATGTCTAAAACACTGATGAAAATGTTATCAGAATATAAACAAAAATGAATTTTTCAGGTTAAAACCATTTTATTTGTTAGTAATATGTAACTATTAACCATTAAATAATTTACCAAATTATTCCATTACCTAATCCATATTGCTCCTTCTTGTCCACAAGAATATAGTGAGGTACATTACCAAATACATACCTCTGACTTTAGTGGGCCTTTAATGTATTATTAGAGGATCCTGATATCTGTCTGTCTTAAGGAAATTAAACTCATCCCTAGTGATTATACTTTCTTCATCTAACACTATAATATTAATAACATTTGAAAAAAATAATGTCTAATAATTAACACTAGATTTACAGAGTATTTTTAGGCAATTTTCTAAAATTGTCTGAAAAATTTGGCCAGAATCAGTGTAAAATTCACATCGGAGCTTATGGAAGCCAACTTTATTCCACTCTAAAAGGACAACATTTTATATTTTTAATTTTATCTTTTAAAATGTTTTAACATAAAGGTAGTGGAAGACGTTACTAAAGGAAGCTTAGACAGTAACGTATTTGTCGTCTCAGTTAACACAAAGACCATAGATGGGGCAGATCTGCAGGATGCAAAAACGTTCCTTTTTCTCACCTCATAGTAGCCATATGGCTACTGCAATTCCCTGGTTTCATGTGCTTACAAAATGTCCTTTAGTTAAAAACAAAAAGAAAGAGAAAGAGAGAAAGAAAGAAAGAGAAAGAAGAAGGAAAAAAGATAGAGGAAAAATAATTTCTTCATGTGTCTATTTAAATTAACAAAGACGTGAATTGTCCCAGACCTCCCTGTGATGAGTAATTTCATGTGTCAGTTTTACTGGGCTAAGGGTTGCCCACATGGCTGATGAAACATTATTTCTGAGTGTGTCTGTGTTTCCAGAGAAATTAGTATTTGAATAGGTAGACTGGGTGAAGAAGATCATCCTCACTAGTATCTATGGGCATCCTTCAATCTATTCAGAGCCCAAATAAAACAAAAAGGCAGAGGAAGGGTGAATTTAATCTGTCTTCTTGAGCTGGGACATCCATCTTCTATTGTCCTCCGATATTGGAACACCTGGTTCTCAGACTTTTGGGCTTAGGTTGAACTATATCACTAACTTTCCTGGGCCTCCATCGTGCAGGCAGGAGATTGTGGAACTTCTCAGCCTCGACATCCTTGTGAGCCAATTCCTCCCAAGAATTATCTTCTTCTAGCTATCTCTGTCTCTATCTCTATCTATCTCATCTGTATCAGTATATGTATCTCTGTGTCATCTATATCTATCTCTATCATCTGTATCTTTATCTCATCTATCTCTATCTCCATCTCTACCTCTATGTCTACATCTACCTTAGCTATCTATCTCAGCTATCTATCTCATTTATGGTTCTGTTTCTCTGGAGAACTTAAGTAACATAGTCCTTATCTTACAACTCACTTGCCAGCTTACCATGATTATAACCAAGTTGATCACTTCAAAGGAATACTAAATAATATATATTGTTTACACTAAGAGTTAGCTAGCCACCCTCCTCAAGCTGAATCTGGCCCCCAACTCACTTAGTAGAGCAAGCAAACTAAATGTAGATTATACATTTTTTACTCATTGAAAAAAACCCAAAGAATAACTTATCATGACATGCTAAAATTTAAATTTTGATATACAAATAAAATTTTATTAGAACACAATTATATTTATTCATTTACATTTACATTCTTTGCCTATGGTTACTTTTACACTAATGCAGCAGAGTTTGTTAGTTGAGACAGAAACAGGCTGATAAAGACCAACATTTTTACAATATGACCCTTTACAAAAAAAAAAAAATTGACACTTGGTTTAGACTGATCAATAATCCTATGGGAGGATTTTATTGATTTTCATTTGTAGCCAACCAAGCACATTTTTTTTCTTGGCTAGGATAAATTTAGAACATCTATGTCCTTCCTTAAAATAGCCCCACATACTTGAAAGTCTGATTCTCTCATAACTATATTTTTTTCTCTGCTGTTAAAATTTGAGCTCATTCTCTTCAGAAATAAAGAAAGTAACAAAATAGAAACTAAGCAGTCCCATTTTTATTTTGCGATTTATGAGGGCCTATACCACCTAGTGGTGATTTAGTATGTATTTAACAACCAGTTCACTGAGAAAAACTGCTGTATTTTTAGTTTGCTTAATTTAGTGGTGTTGAATATTTCCTCTATGACCAATTTTGGCTTATGAATATGATTTCTTTGAATGCAAAGTTGGGAGGAGGTGAGCACTGTGTGCTCCTATGAGGAGTTCCATCTGGCTCAAACATAAACACTATTAACATCACTTTGCTCTAGACATGTGATTCTCCTTCATAATGCTTCTTGCATTAACTGCAATATAAAAGTTACAATCATTATTATTTTTGAAAAACTCAATTTGTATAAGACTCGATAATATTTTAATATGTATACATTTGATAATAATTTTTATTGATTTTTTCTTCTTTTTTTTGTTTTTTTTGTTTATTTATATAGTTAGTTTTCACATTAAATGGGAGAAAAATTGACATTGTTCAATTCACACCCAGGGAAATTCTGTGTGAATGATATCATATTATATTTCTTTTAATGCTCTAAACAATGTTGTGAGGTAAGTGTTATCTCTGATTTGCATATGAAGAAACATATTCCCAGATTAATACATTGCCCAGTTTCACACAGGGAATAAATTGGAGCACAGGAGTTCTATATAGATAGACCTGTATGACTTCACAGAGTGAAATGGACGGATAAACAATTCACTTTCCAGGAGAAATCACAGGACAATGGATAACAGAAGAAATGATGGGACCAGGGTAATAGTGGATGTTTTGTATACAAAAAACTAATTTGGGCAACAAATAAGGATATAAAGTCACTGAAGCAAAATATATATCACCAAATCTAAAAGAAAATATGCTATTGGTAGGCCATGGCTACATTATAAAAAACATTTCATTTCACATAAAGCATGAATACTACACTATGACTATGAGTTAATATTAAAAAATTGACCACATAAGAAATCGGAGAAAAAAGTAACAACACTGTGGAAAGCAAAGAAAATTACTGCAAGATGCAGCTATCACCACCATCTCCTGGCCACATACAGACCTCCTCAGAAGCTTAGATGAATAAAGGGAAGAGACTGGAGTTATTAAAATTTGTTAACTCAGAGTAAAAGCCTTCCTGAGCTGAGGCTAGACCTCTGAGGGAGAGATATGTTCCAACTGCTGCTGTTACCTCTGAAGAGGCACTTTCTGGGGCTCTGAAAAAATTGGTAAACTGAAACAATTACTGCTCCTTGGGCAAGGGGATGTTCTTGGGAGAATATCGGCAAGGACAGCAAACAAACAGGAAAAGGAGACCTATTCTTCCATTCTTTTGCCTATGTTTCTCTAGTACCTCCCAATAGCAGAACCTAGCAGGATCCCACTTGAAGGAACTTGGAAAACGTAGCTTGCTGATCCCCGTCACAGCATTAGAGCAAATTTATTTCAGAGAAATGTGGCTAAAGATCAAGATTATTAGTAAATCAATTTTCTTACCTAATTTTTAATCTGTATTGATTTCTTATAACATAAATATCTGTGATTACAGAGACCTCAGTATTTTCTTTTTCTTCTGTAGCAGCATTTCAATCTTTTTTGAATTTCTACCTCTCTTTCACTTCTAGTTCACACCATGTGAGAGCAATGGACCTAATCATCATGGGCAGTGGTCATAATATGTCTCAACCTGTCCAAAATAAAGATTAACCATATGGTTTATTTTGTAATATGCTCATGATCCAACCTAGTGTATTGAGAAACTTAACTAGAAATTTTGTTGAAATTATTGAGGAAAACAATGTTCATTTTCTGAAAAAGTAGCTTAGCTAGTAAGACATAAGCTCAGTGCTACTAGTGGCCATCTTGATGTGGAACAATACTGAGAATATTTCTTCAAGTAATCCCACAAGAAATGTGTGCAAAACAGAAAAGGGAAAGTTACAATGAGAAATTTCTTACATACTGTATTCAGTAGAGCCTCAGGGTAGCTCTAAATCTAGATACTTAAGAATACTATTGATAATAAATAACACTCATATAGCAAATACTATGTGCTAAGCATTCTTTCATATGCTTTATAAGATTAATATATCTAATACTCACAAGGACTGTATGAGATAGATATTATTGTCCAGTTTTATTACGTCCTGCAAATAAAATGCCCTGACAAATTATATTCTCTCAGACAATCATCTTTCTTTTGTTTGCAATCAACATTTTATATGTATTCACTTATGTATCAATCCTTTGATTCCTCAAAATTTATTTAGGGGTATATAAATATTTTGCTACCACTAGAATTAGCAAAAATTTAAGGTTAAATTTTCAAACATGTTATTGCCCTCATCATACTGTAGCAAGAATTAGTAATCAATGATACACTAAGGATTAAAGTCAAGTCCTAGAAAAATCTCATAGTTAAAATATTAAATAATATTAAGTGATACAATTTGGTCCCAAGTACGCATTTCTAAAGAAAATATATTTTTCTTATGAAAAGTTCTATAAGATTTGATAAATTGAGATATTCCATTTCCATCACTTGAGTATACGGTTTCTTATTTGTTTTTTTGATCTTTGTTGGTTTGTAAAGTTTGTTTTGTCTGAAATTAGGATTGCAATCCCTTTGCAAATAATTCCTCAGGTAGCTCATCTAAGCTCTGAAAGGCTACAATAGCTCTCAAAATCTCAACAGAGGGAAATAAAATACTTCACAGCTGTAATGATTTTCTCTCTCTCTCTCTCTCTCTCTCTCTCTCTCTCTCTCTCTCTCTCTATATATATATATATATATATATATACTTTCTAAAAAAGTATAGTGAGAATACTAAGTATTTGGGAACTGATTTGAAAGTCCATAACTATTAAAAATTGCAAGAATTTTTATGGAGCATATTTATTTCAGAAATCAGTATCAAAGCCTGAAAAAAGAAGTCTTAAATGTCTACATAATTCTCACAACGTTATATATATATATAATATATGTAAAAATAAGAGAGTTGGTCAAAATTGCTCATATTAAACATGTTCCAATTACTACCCTACCTTAAACAAGAACCTTATAAATTCCTAAAATATATAAAATGTAAGGAATGGTACAAATAATGCTTCACTTCTTGGAGATGAAGTGAAGATGAAACATAAACCCTATTTATTTATCCCAATTATTCCATTTCACATACTCACAAAGGACACTATTCTGTCACCATTTAACCCTGTTCCCCAAAATCTCATAAATGCAGTTTCAAAAACAGCAAAACTATGCAAATTAAAATGTGATGATGTTACCAAACATGCTATGTAATTAGGGACATCTCCCAATGCTTAACCCTCCAAATAGTCATTCTGTTACAATCTATTACCAGAGGGTGTTAACAGTAGAAAGAAAGTAACAGTCATCTTTATCTGTAATTTGCTGCTTGCTTGCTTTGTGTACCATAGTTAAAACTATTCAGGACCAAGAGTGTTATAAAATTGTATTTTTCTTTCTAGATAATATGGTTTTTCTGTATCATTTTCAATTGATATCACTACCGATCTATTTTTCATGACTTACCACATACTGGCTTGTGTTGTTATTCTGTATTGATTTAGGTTATTGCTAGCAATGTAGCCGAAACTCTGATTTCCAAGATCAGCAGCTACTAACTATGATTTCTCACCCAGGAGCATGAGGAGGGAATATACACAGCTCAGTGTTGTTGTTGTTTTTTTTTCCCTTAACATCAAAGGTGTTAGGGAAGTAATCAAGAACTACTTTTACTGTGAATGTCAGCTTGTGAAAATTGACATGATACAGTTCCAGCCTGACTCCCACTGGTCTCAAATACTTGATTAGAAAGAAGGCACACCATGAAACAGTTGGGGCTTGACCTTTAAAATGAAAATGGAATATAATTAGATTTGAAAGTGTAAACGGGCATAAAAGGGAAGGCTTAGTGAAAAATGATTATATTATTAATACTTGAAATTAATATTAGAATTAACAATTGAGATGTAAATAATGTTCTTTTAATTTAGAAACTGTCACACTTAGCAGAGCTAAAGGAGCATTTTTCTTTTGTCGGAAATGGAAATGTGCATAAAATATGTTTGTTTCAACCTTTACAAAAGTGTCCTTCAGATCCCATAATGTATTACTAAATAAAACTAAAATCTAGCCTGAAAAATCTCCATACTCACATACTTAGCAGGTAAACAAACTAAAAGTCTAAGTTTAGTAGTATGTGTCCCCGTAACAACAGCTTAGTCTCAGCCAATCCCAGTAGCTATACTTTAACCACTCATAGGCGGCCAACTGGTTAAACCTTGTTTAAATAAGGCAAATGCTGAGCTGTAACCAATCCAGCTATTTCTGTACCTCAGTTTCGGTTTCTGCACATTACATTTTTTTCCCATAGATATTTGACCATGTGACAGTGCCAAAGTCTTTCTGAAATTTCTTTGATTCTAAGGGCTGATTTGCAAATCATTTTTTTTCTTTTCTCAAGTAAACTCTCTTAAATTTGTCTAAAGTTTTTCTTTTAACAGTATCAATAATTTACATATTTTGAGGTGGGGAATAAGAATATACCTCATAGCACCTGGGTCCCAATACACTTTAAACAAGAGAGGTTTCCAAGAAAATTGAGTGAAATATAACAGGCTTTCTCTGGGACTGGCCCACAAAGAAGGGCATTACATAATGATAAAGTGTTGATTGAACAAGAAAACTTCACTATTCTAAACATTAATATTTATGCATCCAAAACAGGAACACCCAGATTCATAAAGCAAGTTCTTAGAGACCTTCAAAGAGACTTAGACTCCCACAAAATAGTAGTGACAGAAAAATGCAAAGTTAGGTAAATTGATAAGCATCATTTCATGTATCTATTATCTCTTTGTTAATAGTTCTCATTGCACTTTAAAAAAGGCTAGTTAAAATGTTTAAGCATTTCATAAACGTTCAATTCAAAATAGAATAACCTGCTGCTAAATGACTTTTAGGTAAATAATGAACTTAAGGCCAAAATTAAGAAGTTCTTTGAAACGAATGAGAAAAAAGATACAACATACCAGAATCTCTGGGACACAACCAAGGCGGTGTCAAGATGGAAATTTACAGCACTAAATACTCACAACAAAAAGTTAGAAATATTTCAATTTAACAACCTAACATCACAACTAAAATAACAAAAGAACCAACAAAAAACCAGCCCCAAAGCCAGCAGAAGACAGTAAATAACCAAAATCAGAGCTGAACTGAAGGAGATTGAAACACAAAAGTATTCAAAAGATCAATGAATCCAGGAGTTGGCTTTTTGCAAAAAAATCAATAAAATAGAAACACTGCCAGCTAGACTAATAAGAGAGAAAATCCATATATAACACAATCAGAAACAATGGAGGAGATATTACCACTGACTCCAAAGAAATACAAATAACTATCAGAGAATATTATGAATACCTCTATGCACACACAAGAAAATCTAGAAGAAATGGATACATTCCTGGACACATACACCCTCCCAAGACTGAGCCAGGAAGAAATTTTGAATCCCTGAAGAGGCCAATAGTGAATGAGCTCTGAAACTGAATCAGTAACAAATAGCCTACCAAAAAATAAAAAAAATAAAAAAAAATAAAAGCCCAAGACTAGACAGATTCACAGCTGAATTCTACCAGATGAACAAAGAAGAGCTAGTACCGTTCCTGCTGAAACTATTCCAAAAAATTGAGGAGGAGGGACTCCTTCTCCTTCATACCTCATTATGTGAGGCCAGAATCATTCTGATACCAAAACCTGGCAGAGACACAATAAAAAAAGGAAACTTCAGGCAAATATCCTTGATGAACATTGATGAAAAAATTCTCAACAAAACTCAGCAACTGAATCCAGCAGCACATCAAAAAGCTTATCCATCACAGTTAAGTAGGCTTTATCCCTGGGATGCAAGGTTGGTTCAACATACAGAAATCAATAAATGTGATTTGTCACATAAAGAGAACTAAAGACAAAAACCACATAATTATCTCAATAGATGCAGAAAAGGCTTTTGATAAAAACCAACATCCAGCCGGGTATGGTGGCTCACGCCTGTAATCCCAGCACTTTGGGAGGCTGAGGCAGGTGGATCAAGAGGTCAGGAGATCAAGACCATCCTGGCTAACATGGTGAAAGCCCGTCTTTACTAAAAATATAAAAAATTAGCCGGGCGTGGTGGCAGGCGCCTGTAGTCCCAGCTACTTGGGAGGCTGAGGCAGGAGAATGGTGTCAACCTGGGAGGCAGAGCTTGCAGTGAGCCGAGATCATGCCACTGCGCTCCAGCCTGGGTGACAGAGTGAGACTCCATCTCAAAAAAAAAAAAAAAAAGAAGAGAGGTGCCATGTGTACAAAAATCAATACATATTTATGAACTTTTTTTCATAAAAAGTAAGCCTCTGCCTCAAAAAAAAAAAAAAAGGAAAAGAAAATATGGAAGCTCCAAAGATAAAGAAAAGCCTCAATCCAACTATATTATTGCAATAACAAGAGATTTCAGAGTGTACATTGCCATTCTACCACTGGAAGTTTGTTTCATCTTCCCTCACACTCGGAAAGGTCGCCATCTCCCAAAGCAGACAAATTCTCACAGGAAAAAGAGAAAACGCGCACTTCCACCAGCATGTGGCTTCGTAAGGGCAAGCATGTGCACCTGGCACATAGGAGGTACGTGCTATTTGTTAAATGATATGTTCACAGTGACCAGGCCTGCTACGCCCTTCCAAGGAACATGCTTGGCAAAGCCATACAGCAGTCAGGATAAGATATGTATCACATCCTTATCTCTGGGAACTTACCCTTTTCTGAAGTTATAGCTAACTTAGTAAAAGCATAAGAGAAGTAACATGATATGACAAAATTTAACATGTTCCACTCAAGAAAACAACAAACACACGCATGTCCCTCAGATGACAACAGCCATGCCAACTCTATGTCTGTGGTGGCATCCCCTACCTGACACGATCATCACAGGGCCTCTGATCTCAGTCAACTTCTGCCAATGAAGTTCTGAATGAGGCATTATATCAAAGTGCTCTTTCCAACTTTGGAGGCCCCGTCACCACTACCACTATTGGTGGGGGCTCTAGTGGAGTTCGATCAACCACTGGAATACGATGCTTTTTTGTCTTCAAATCCTGAGTCCTATTCATTTAAAAAAAAAAACAAACAAAAAAGTAAACTCACTTTCAAAATAGAGTAAAAGTAGACTTTTAAAATATACTTATAGATATCAGTACTTTCGTATATTTTATAGAGTATAACAGACAATATATAAATATAATTAACTTGTCAATTAACTTGTTAACTTTTGAGCCCCATCCAAATAACTTCTGTTCAATAAAGATGTAACAAGATAACTTCAATAGTATAGAGAGTTGAAAATTAAACACTCCTTAAATCTGACTGTTTTATGAGTGATTTTAATAATTTTTTAAAAACCAAAAGGTAAATACCGAGGCAGTGCATCATAACAGATAAGAGCAGAGGCTCTGGAGTTAAATTTGGCTCTCCTACTTACTGGTTATACGATTGGAGGTAACTTGTTTTCTTGACCTCAGTTTTCTTGTCCATAAAAAGAGGGCAAGAATGATTCCTACTCTGGTAAGGCTGCTGGGAGGATTTAGTTGAATAATGTTTAAAGTACACTGCTAAGAATATCATAAGGACTCATTCAATAAAGCTATGTTAGTATTAAATGTTGTAATTTTTGTATTTTATATTACAACTTTGTAAAACATATCCAGTGGGAAAAAGCACACTTATCACCATAGAAACAGTTTAAAGTTTAGGAAGAATCAAATTCTATAAATTCTTGTATCTTGGGCAAGAAACACCAACCAGTGTGCAGATGCTGGAGGCAAGGCAGCTTCTATGGGAAGTCTTCTCACGTTTTAGTAAAAGCCACACAGCATGCATCTCCATGTCCTTTGGAGCTGGACTAGACTTGTGAATCCAAATGTCACCTGTGAGAGGCTCCTACTATTTAAAAAGAATCAATGAAAGAAGCATCAGACTGTAGCTAAACATACCTGTGAAAGGATCGAGCCATCCACACAGCAGACTGAACTGCAAAAGCTTTGGGATTTCTCTTCTGGGCATCTTCTTCGTCTCCTAGCTGGAGATCCTGCAGATGCCGCTTCTTTTTCTTTTCATCTTTGGGTCCACTGTTTTTCTTTCTTTGTTTCTTCTGGTCCTTAGTCTCCATAGTGGCTATTTACCAATAACAAGTAACTCTAACCTACAAGGAAGAAGGTTGGGGTAAGGAGGTGGGAGAAGCATTTTACAATCCAGGCAATACCCAGGGAAAAACATTAAATTTCATTTATTTCTTTATGAAGACATGATGTATTTGTTCACTGAACAAGGGTAGAAACTGCTTAACCCTCCCCAATTTCATTTATCTCTGTTATGCTATAAATTAGATGAGTTACTTCTGCTAAGATTACACTTTATGATTAAGTTACTTTTTATTCGTCTTAAGTGTCAACATCATCAGTATCTATTTCTGCAAGGATAGAAATATTCTGTATCTGTACTTTTCCACCATTTAGCCATTAGCCACATGTGGTTACTGAAAATGTACTTAGAGAAACTGAAAAAAACGAATTTTTAATTAATTTCATTCCAACTCTAAATAGTCACATGTGGCTACCATACTAGACAGCTCAGACCTAGATATTGACTGGACTAATGAAGTGGTTTCCTAACTTAAACCAAAACTTAAATTTTAATAAAAAATTTAAAATGCTTTTATGAACTTCCAACATGATCACAGTATTACTTTTAGTACCTGTTGACTCTGCAAAACTCCTAAATTACAACTCATCTACATACATTTGAAAAATAGCAATATCTGCATGTGTGAGATATGACTGGTTCTAAATGATGCCTGGAGACCCTATGGACTTACAGAGACCCTTCCAGTGATTTCTGAGGTACCTGGGAATCTGTGGCCAATAAATTGGTAATCACTGAATTAGTGAGTTTTTTTTTTAGAATATCGGGCTGCATAAAATCTGACAGCTTGATTGAAAAACAGCGGGGCAGGGTGCCACTTCATTCAATTAAGGTCCTGTATTAATTCCGTTTAATAAATGTTTGTGTCTGTCTATGATGTGCTAGCCACTGTGCCAGTAAATGGATATACCTATGATCTGACTTGCAGAGAATCCAAACTAGTATCTTTCGTGCCATGCAATAAGGGCTACATTGCAAGGCTGCACAGGGTGCTACTGGGGCACAGAGGTGAGTCAGAGGCTTCCCACAGACACACACACGAGCGGAAATAGAAAGTCTTTATATATCACCATAATGTCAAGGAACACCAGCCGGGAGTTAGGAGAGCTGGGCACTAGGAACTCTTTGAAACCGAATAGCTGTGTGATTTCAGAGATTATGTTGCTTCTCTACTATATTTTAGTTCCGAACTTGTCCTAATGTTTCTCTCCCTTTTCTTCTTGGGAAAAGCACAATTTGGGGTCAACACATTCGGCTCAGGTCTAAGTCGCCTGCCGGGACCACGTCGCCAGGAAACCACGTCTCCCCGACACCTTCCCTCCCCGTCCCGGCTCTCTGCAGGGATTCACCCCGTCCCTCTCCCAACGACCCCCGGGCACACCTCTGGCAGATGCGAAATATGCTGCTCCTGGGGAGCAAAGATGAGCCGGAGGACCTTCCCACGCGCACGACTCGCGATCTTCCCAGTGCCCCAGAGCCAGGGACCCCACCGCCGCCTACCCCAGCCCGCGGCACCACCGAACCTGCTCACAGCTGCAACTCCTCAGGTCCGCTTGGACACCGCGGGAAACGGAAATTCACTGTCGCGCCGACTCGCCGGGAGGGAAACAAAAGGCAGAAAAAAAAGACCGGTGCCTGGAGGACTTTCAGGGTAGAGCTGGAAGAAAGACTCGTCAACAGCTGAGTGCAGGCGCCGGCGCCGTCTGCGCAGTGCGTTCCACCGGGTCCGCGTGCCTCCGGATTCCGCCCCACCCCGCCCTCGGAACTCGCTGCCTCAACTCCTGCGGAGGGACTCCGGAGCAGTGTACACCGCGCTCCAGGAGTCCTCCCCGAAGGCCAGAGCAGCTGTGCGGCCTGGCGCGGATTAGTTGGTGCGGTGCAAAAGCCAGAAGGAGGCACATTTGGTCCTGGCCACCCCGGAGTGACCGTGCTCCGGACGAATGGACTATGGCTGGACTGGGAGTCCACTTCCTCCTCTTTAAAGATGACAGATGAGGGAGATCTCGCGTTCTGGGGGTGCCCTAAAGCCCTCTTTTGGCCGGAAGCGGTGGCTCATGCCTGTAATCCCATCCCTTTGGGAGGCCGAGGCGGGAGGATCGCTCGAGCCCAGGAGTTCAAGACCAGCCTGGGCAACATAGGGAGGCTACGGCTCTCTCTCAATAAATAAATAAATAAATAAAAGCAAGCCCGCGTCCTGGCGGGCGCCTGTGGTCCCTGTGGTCCCAGCTACTCTGGAGGCTAAGGCAGAACGATCGCTTGAGCCTTGGAGGCGGAGGTTGCAGTGAGCTGAGATCGAGCCACTGCACTCTAGCCTGGGCGACAGAGCAAGACACTGTCTCAAAGAAAAATAAATAAATAAAATAAGGCCTTCTTTTTCCAGGACCAACAGACTCTGAGGGCAGGGACAAACTGACCCAGCCTAAACTACCTCGCCTTCCCTGCTCCCGGTAAAGGGGCTTTCCCTGAGGGAATGTAGCATCTTGCCATTTTCTTCCTGCACAGCTTTGCCTTCCCAGGGATCCTCCCATTGCCACCTGAGGAAATGCCTTGGAGTCCATCTAACCCCCAGCCCAGGTACTTGGGACGCCTACAGAGCCTACATTGTCAGGATGCATCTTCCTCTAGTCTTGGAGGGGATCCTTTCAATAAGATCCCACCAGTGCACGCAAGGCTCAATTCTACACCTAAAAACTAGGCCCACTCCTGTCACCGAGACCCCCAGGCTTCAAGTCCTGTCACAGGGACCTTGTTTTCGCCCCCAGCAGCCCTCAGGTATTCATTCTGCATAGGCTATATACTGGGTGCTAGACTGGGGAGGCTACCCACGTGGCACATGATTCCCTTATCCCTGAAGAGCTTAGGATGTTGTAACTTCTTCACACTAGGCCTCTTACTTCATGGAGATGTCAGTATCTGGGTAGATAATCCTTCTGACATCCTTTTGATCTCATGAAGCCCACTCCTGTCCTCTGCCCTACCTCAGCTTCCCCCTCCCTCCATGATCAGACCTTAGACCTTGTCAGGTCCAAGGACTGCAAACCCCACAGTAGCCCACTCTGACCACCACCTCCTAGCTATCCAGGTTACTCCCTATACTGCCCTGAAACAAAACTCCTGCAACCTTACCAGCACCTCCAATCAAGATCTTACTACCTGTTCACTGTTTCTTCCTTCCTTTATGACTTTTCCCTCTCTAGTGAGCCAGCTTAAACTCCATGGCCAACCATTCTCATTGGTCCCTTGCACACCTCCTCAACTCACCCGCCTCCCTGTCACCTCCTATCTGCTTAGTAAGATGGGAGCCCTGGATAAACCCAGCTCTCCATCTATTCCATGCCACAACGATGCAACTAAACATGGCTGGAGGAAAACAGGGCCATGCCAGCAGTCCTCACTTTAATCATTCTTTGTCCGGTCTATTCAATCTCCCATTGTTCCAAATGAGTATTTTGCACGTCTTCCTCTCTGTTCAGTCCTTCCTACTGCCTCCCCCTTCCTTGCCTCCTGAAAAAAGAAGGGAAAAAAGACCTTTTGAAAAAAGAAGGGATAGGTGTTCACAACTCAGTGTGAAGTGTTTAAAAGAGAGCCACACAAGCACGAAGAAAGCCAGGAGTGAGTAACCTGCAGAAAAGTAGGTAAAGGTTCTGATCTGGATCCAGATGAGAAATGGAATGGCAAGTGAAAATCAGGAAATATTTTGAAGAAGATAAATGTTCCTGGGTATCTTTGAATACCTGGTAAATTATTAAGTTCTTATATATAATAAAGTAAGACTGTAGGTTTGTCTTTTTATTCAGGTATTTGAGGAAAATGTGTCTCCAAGGACTATTGAAATCTGAGACATATGTTCTGGGTACATTAAAGAGAAGGTATAGTAGTGTTGAAGAATTTCAAAATATATTTAGGTCTTGTAAGTCAGCCCTTCTCCTTACATTAACTATATGACTCCTTCATAGTGGATTATCATTCCATCCAAAATTTCCTATTTCAAAAGCCACATTTGGTTCATGCAGATATGAAAAGATGCCATAGTAGGAGAAAAAAGTTTGGAGATGATGAAGATGCAAACAGGAGTATTTAGTAATACTTTAGTAAGCTTACACGAATACGATAAAATACAGTTTTAATTTGGTTTCTAAGTATACTTTATTCTAGACATTATAAATCACCATCACTTGAGAGAAAAAAAGAGAGCCAGAGATGAATATACACGTTCCAACATAATGTAAAGGCATAATAGCATCCTCAACATGACATATGCTGTGCTCCTAAATATTAAGGATAAGATGCTAAAATTTGTCTTTATCCCCATGTTTTGGGTTCTAAAATATTAGATGTAGAAAAAAAGAAAAAGAAAGTAAAAAGACACCACTCTAAGACAAGGAATTTTATTTTCATAAGACATCCATATCCACATAATTTGTAGGCAGTTTCCTAAATGGCTTTCAGTGATCCCCTTTTCTTAACATTCATATTCTGTCCTTTCAGCTTGATAGTTGGCTTGAGATTAATCACACTTGAGCTTAATCACTTCCAAGTCTAGATGACAAAAGCCTTTGACTTTTTTCTTGCACATTCTTTTTTGCCTTTTTATTTATTAGCCCTGTCGAAGCTGCTTCCATGTTGTGAGATGCTTTATGGGTAACATCCATGTGGTAAAACAGTGAAGTAGGCCTCTTGCCAACCACCAATTAAGAATAGCCATAGAGGAACTGAGTCCCACCAACAGCTACTTGAGTCACTGTAAAAGTGGACTCATCACTGGTTGAACCTTGGGATAACAATAGCCCAACTGACACCTTGATTTTAGCCTTGTGAGATATTCAGACACAGACAATGCAGCTAAGCATTCTCTGAATTTCTGACTCATGGAAACTGTGAGATTATAAATGTTTGCTGCTTTATCCACTAAGATTTTGGATAATTTGTTAAACAAATACATAACTAATACACATACACAACTTGCAAGATAAAATATAACTTTAGAGGAAAAAAGAAGAAATCAAACAAGAACTAGATGCAGTTAACATAAACTAAGCTCAACATATTTCATTACAGCATGTGGAAATTGTAAAGTATCTTTTTCTTATATATGTTAAGTACTCAGTAAAAAATTACAGTATTGCTGAAATCTGTATACTGAAGTTGAAAAAGACAAAGAAAACTTAGAGGATGTGTGGGAGGTAGTGAAAAGATAATTAAAAGATTCAAAATCAAAATTTATATAACAGAATTTGTATTTTAAGAAAAATGTAAAGAGTTACAAAAAGTATGTCCCCTTCTCTGACAGTAATTATTACCCTATTTGCTATAATATAATAAATAAGGTTTTGAGTAACAAATTTGTGGCAGATTTAAGCAACAATCCAGGTAAACAGACACCTCTCTTTCAATAAGGGAGAAGGAAATGACAATTACATTATTCAGCAAAAACATTTTATCTTTGTTTACAGACTTTGTGTGTGTGTGAATGTTTCTCACAAATTGCAAAGGTCCCCAGTCTTAACAAAGAATTTATTTGACCATTAACTATATTTCATGTGTAACCTTTATTTTACAACATGAAATTATATATTGAATTTAGATTTTTACATTTTGTTAATTACTACTTCACAAGAAGGGGAAAAATAAAAAATCTTCAAAAAGCAATTATAGCTCAATGATTTAAATCAATTCACCAGGCTATGGTTGTGGCAGATAATAAAAAATTAAATTCTTCCAAAGCTAAGTTGATTACTCTGAGTACCTACCTGTGTTCTTCCAAAATTTTATAAATTACATGGGATTGGAACTCAGAGGAAATTTAGATTGCTTTTTTTCCAACTTTTAAGTTCAGTGGTACATGATCATGATAAAATGATGGCTAAAATGAGGATCTAAATCTATTGTATCATTACTTTACAATCAGAAATAAATGATAACAGTAAAGTATTTTATTAACTTATTTCTGAGGTAATAGAAAAGGAATATATATCATGAGGAAGAATGAATTGATTTGGACTGGTAAGGATTTTAAGTGAAAATTTATGTGATTTTAAAAGAAATTTACACACCTAGTTAGTATGCAGGAAGGTGTGGAATGCAAAAAAGACCTGAGATAAAATTAATGGCTTAAAAAATTCTGAGAGCCCAAACAGCCATGCACCATTATATTCAAAAACAAAATAAGCACATGCTGAAACATTACCTTAATGTGAGGAAAAACTTGATGTGCCGGGAATAGTGAGAAATGACATATTTCCTGGACTGGCCAGACTGCTTTTTTAGTAAATTGGAGCCACAAAATCAAGGTATATATTCAATCCATGAATGTTTTGATTTCTCATTTGCAGCATTTTGAGGTTTTGATACATCAAAGCATTCTGAATAATAAAATCTCACATCTAATGTTGGTAAATATGACCACAACAAACTCTAAAATTCTACACTCCTTGCCTTTCTGCCTGAACCTTGCCCCCCAAAAACAATTTATTTCAGGCATTTCCAGTCAAAATTTTAAAACTGATACTAATTTTGTGTAGTTTGGGTCATGTTTATGACATATTAATTAGTCATAGATGTCAAGAAACAGAATGACCTAGGTAATATGCTCAACTCTGAAGCTAGGCTGTCAGGTTTTGAAACCAATGGATTAAGAACAGGGAAGTGGCTGGGCGCAGTGGCTTATGCCTGTAATTCCAGCACTTTCAGGGGCCGAGACAGGTGGATCACTTGAGATCAGGAGTTTGAGACCCACCTGGCCAACATGGGTGAAACTCCGTCTCTACCCAAAATACAAAAATTAGCCAGGCGTGGTGGCACACATCTGTAATCCAAGCTACTCAGGAGGCTGAGACAGGAGAATAGCTTGAACCTGGGAGGTGGAGGTTGCAGCCAGCCTGAGTGACATAGCAAGACTCTGTCTCAAAAACAAAACAAAACAAAACAGGTAAGGGGTAATTCTCCAAAGAAAAACTACCATTATTTTATCAAAATAATGAAGGAAGCATTCTGGTCAGTCAAACCAACCTATGTCTATAATCAAAGTGCAAGCTTTACAGAGAAATTTTTAATACAGAACTGAAATATTATTCATAAGTAATTGGAGTATTCTGGGGAATAGATGCTAGTAAAAGTTAAGGAAAATGTATGCATTTTCTTGTCTTATAAGAAATGTCAATTAGGGTGAAATTCATGTTGTAAAAGTATTTACATTTAAATTAACTTCAAGAAAAAATTTGCTGGAGATATTAGCAGAACATGTTGTACTTTACAAAAAAATGCACGAATTTTATCTAGGCTGGGTTGAATATGTTTAGAAAAACACAGTCTTTTGAAGAAAAAGTTAGATTGCAATATCTCAAGTAATAACTAGTGACAATGAAGATAATAAAGCATTCTTATGAGCCCAAGAGTTGATATTTCTAAGTTTTACGGCATAGCTGACGAATCATTCAGTAAAACCAAATGAAACAAATACCTTCAGTCTCTCAAATCAAACACCATACTGTTGAGATTTTAGCTATAACTTTATGTTTGTCTTGTTTGAAAAAGTATTTTAAAACCCCAAAATACTTTTTGTTAAACCATCTTAAATGGTTAAAACATTCCTTTTAGAGTAAACACTTATGAAATGCTTAAGCATTGTAACCTCATCATTCCAAAGGATTAAAATGTTTATTTTAAATTGAGCATTTATGAAATGCTTAAACATTTTAACTAGCATTTTTTAAAGTGCAATCATAAAAACACTGTTTTTATTATGAAAGAAATATTTCCTAATTGCATTCACACATTTGAACTGTTTACACATGGGGCAATAAAATGAAATACAATTGTGAAACACATTTTATACAAGGTATAGTTGCCAAAGCTTTTGTCATCTTGAAATAATCTTTTTATACTTTTTTGCTGTTAAAGCATAAATTTGTGTCACAAGTTAAGTTGATTCTGGCAAATTGTAGTTAATCCCTGACTACTTGTCATGATTAGATATTCAGATAAGGTATACATCACAGACCATCTGTGAGAGGACACTATTTCATCACTATTTCTGGGTAACAGGGAGGCTTATTTTGAGGATGGACCCACCCTGTTTTTTTGTGAAAGCAGGAGAGTGCCAGGTGGTTGGTACAGGTAAACACAAAGGGTAATACCAGGGAAAAAGAAACGCAGGGCTTTGCCAGCAAACCTTTACAATATTGGTGCACTACAACAGGTGGTAAACAGTGAGATGTCATATATGTGTACAAAGCCAGAATACATTTCACAATTTGTAGCTCAGATTCCACGAGACACTAAGAATACAGATGTTAGGAAGTTTCAAATTTCAATAAGGGTAGAATCTAATACCACTTTGAAAATACCCTTTCTCAACTGCATGTACTTATATTGCTAACTGGAGAAAATAGCTCTGGAGAGTAATCATGGAACTGTGCGGAGCTTATTTGGTTAATGGGACCAAACATACAATTAGGTAGAAGAAATAAGTTCTAGAGTTCAATAGCACTGTAAGGTGACTAGTTACTAATTTATTGTATATGTCAAAATAGCCAAAAGAGAATATTTGAAATGTTCCTAAAACAAATAAATAATAAACCTTTGTGGTGATGGATAACCTAAATACGGTGATTTGATTTTTACACATAGTATGCATGTATCAAAATATCACATTTACTTGTTATAGATACATAAGACATGTACTATATAAATATGTACAACTCTTGCATATCCATAAAAAGTAAATACATGAATAGATTAACAAATAGAACAAGAAAAAATTATTAGTACAAAATATTTAGCCTTTTTCTAGGTTTCATGAGAAATCTGCAAATTTCCTAGGGGAACTTATGATAGCCTATTAACATGCAAATATAATGTATTAGATCTAACTTTTAAAAGTAAAAAGAGATTTTTTTATCATCCTGAAGAAGAAAAAGAACTTTTACCAAGGTTTTCTTGTCCCGGGCTCACCATGTAATGATGAAAGCAAACTGGAGTAGAAAGTAAGGCAAAGAAAAATAAATACATATTTTTTTCAGTGGTCTCTAAGTATCTTAAACTTTGTTATCTCTCATGTCTAGCTTTATTCCAGGCACAAACTGATCAAAAATTGATTCCCTGAATGAGCTTGCCATATCAGATACAGAAATTTTAAGATTTGCTAATTCAAAGTACAAGAACACAGTAAATAGTAAGAGAAGACATGAGCCTGTCAGTATATTAAATTCACTGGCATGCTTTTTTCATCTATTTCCCTTCAGAATCTGTTACAAAACCTAGAGAAATGTGACTCCTACGAGCCACTGTTATGCAAAGGTGTGCCAGACTCATTGTGTTTAGGGCAGAAAGTGTAGCCTGGAGTAAAAAAATAAAAAATAAAGATTTTAAGTCCAAGAATGCTCAAATGTATTAAGTATTATGATGTATTACCAAATTTTGATTGCTGCATAAAATACCTCTTTGTGACAACCCAGTTTACATGCAATTTCAATGATGACTATTAGAGAACTATTAAGCCGAGCAGGTCATGTAGCTTAGGGTAAACCTCATGACCTCATCTGTTGGAACATGTGTCGATAGGGTAGACCAAGGAAAGGCTGGGCGCAGTGGCTCACGCTTGTAATCCCAGCACTTTGGGAGGCCGAGGCAGGCGGATCACAAGGTCATGAGACGAGACCACCCTGGCTAACAGGGTGAAACCCCATCTGTACTAAAAAATACAAAAAATTAGCCGGGCGTGGTGGTGGGCGCCTGTAGTCCCAGCTACTCGGGAGGCTGAGGCAGGAGAATGGCATGAACCCAGGAGGCGGAGCTTGCAGTGAGCCGAGATCTTGCCACTGCACTCCAGCCTGAGCGACAGAGCAAGACTCCGTCTCAAAAAAAAAAAAAAAAAAAAAAAAAAAAAAAGGATAGACCAAGGAAAAAATATGCTCTGAGTAAGAGGTAAACACGGAGGATCAATTCAAAATGGTCCCAAATGAAGATGCCTTTTGAGTATATGTCAGGGAAGTGAAGACAATGAATAGTTCCATGCAAGCAATTCAAGTGAGAAAGGGCAATGCGTAAGGCAAAATAAATGAGATGAGAAGCAACCTTTGCCCTCAAAGAGCCTGGTAAGAAGAAGTTTTTTTTTTGTAAGTCTTGCTTATTTTTCATTAGAAAAAAAGTTAGAGGCAAATCTTTTTACTTAGGCATATCATAAAAATATTTCTGTATCCTCACTATGAATGAGAAAATAAGCATAAACTCAAATTATAAAAAGATCCAACAGGTAAAAAGCTATGTCATATAATGTTTGTTTGAGGTTGATACTTTAAAAGAAATTATCTACCCACAAGTTGGGGAGAAAATAAATAGAAATCTGTTTTTCTCCACTGCTTTAAGAATCTAGACTGATTTCAACTCTCTTAGACAAAATTTCACATAGACCACATGCATGAACATTTTAATGCTGCCATTATACCTTATATGGCAAATAATTGCTATAGCCATACTTATTTTACTTTGTTGAGCTAAATACATTTTTACCAAAAAATGGTATGTATCAAAATCTTAAATGCTGACATTTAATGGGAAAATGGAATAACTTACATGCGCTATAATTCTCAACCTGTTTAGTGCAAAAGATCTTAAAAGATGAAAAAAGTTTAGAGAGACCAATCACAAATGGAAAAGAAAGGAAAATTCAAAATGATGTCAAGATAAAAACTAGAATATTAGCTCCAGGACAGCAAAAACTTCTGTCTTTTATTTTTTAAACTACTCTCACCCTGGTACTCAGAAATTTGTTTGGACATAGTAAGCACCCAATAGATTTATTGAATGAGTAAACACGTTTTAAAACATCAAAATTATTACCTGTATTACAGTGAAAAAAATACCTAATGACCTTCTACAATGTGCCATTCTTTATGCAAAGTACTTTATATATATCAGCCTGTATAATCACTGTTAAAACCAATGAGAAAGATAATAATTTATTGATGAGAAATTGGAAGTTCAGATCTATTAAGAAAGTCATCCAAAGCCATGCTGACTTCAAAGTACAGACTCTTTACTTTAGGACATGGCATAACCCCCAGAGGGTAATGATATTGAGAAAGCTTTGCCATTGGAAACACAATTTCATAGACAAGAAGAGAAGGTTATGTTCACATTACTTTTCATGCTTCACATGGCAAGAACATTCTGCTCTTTAATGTTAGGATTCATAACTTTCCCTAAATACTCTGTGCTCTGTTGTCTAAATGGTAACACCAAGAATCATCACTTTTCCTCCGTAATAGGGTGTGCAGTGTCTTTGTGTGAAATATAGTCTATAGTTGTATATCTTCTAGTTGAGAAATTTAATCATGCAATATATCTGGAATAAGAAAAAAATACAGCAACAATTAAAATAAGACAATAAAAATGAGTAAGATGTTTACATTTCCATTGCCAGAAAAATCGTGCAAAACACAATTCATGAAAGAGAGAGTGGCATAAAACAACTGCAGGGGAGAAATGATGAAAACAGAGAAAGAAAGAGATAAACTAGTGAAATAAAGTTGAAAAAAGCTTCATTTTCACAGCATTGCATTTTGTGAAAAGTCTTACACTTTTACCTTAAAGAGTTTAAGAGTATACTAAATTGAATTTGTTTTTGACTTGATGTTTCTGCTTTAAATTATATCAAGGCTTAATTACCATTTAAAACTTACTATTAGTTAATTTATATATCATTACTAATGTCAGCATCTTGTCAGGCATAAGAGTTAAATATAAATTTATATTCCCCAGGTGAACACAATTGATACAAGAAAAAAAATTACTAATCAAGAAAAAAAAAGGAGTTCCTTTCTCTAAATGTATCACATAGTGATACAGCTTTTTATACACTACAAATAGACTGGGTCAGAAGTTAAAGAAAGTCGTTTGTCTTCTGGAAAAATTATAAATCATATTTTATTAAGAAAAACAAAAAACTGTATTTACTCAAATTCAGGATAGGATCAATCAATATTTTCTCTTAAATTTACAGTTGACAAAAAATTGGAAAGAAGTAATAGAGGACTTTTGGTGTTTTATTATTGTTATGTGATATTATTCCTGATGACTCTAGAATTAACTTCACTTTAGTCTGTTCAAGGATATTACTCCCACAAGTGTTCCTTCCTCAGGATTATAAAATGTACCCCCTTTACTCTATCATACTCATTAGCATACTGTCTCATATGTTTCATGCTGTGGAACCTCATAGGACTTATAGCACCTATTACAACTCATTTATAACGTTTTTTTTTTTTGAGAGGGAGTCTTGCTCTGTTGCCCAGGCTGGAGTGCAGTGGCGTGATCTCGGCTCACTGCAACCTCTGCCTCCTGGGTTCAAGCAATTTTCTGCCTCAGCCTCCTGAGTAGCTGGGTAGCTGGGATTACAGGCGCCCACCACCACACCCGGCTAATTTTTTTTTTTTTTTTTTTTTTGTATTTTTAGTAGAGACAGGGTTTCACCATCTTGGCCAGGCTGGTCTTGAACTCCTGACCTAGTGATCCACCCGCCTCGGTCTCCCAAAGTGCTGGGATTACATGCGTAAGCCACAGCGCCTGGCCCCATTGATAACACTTTTTAAAGTTCTCTATACTTTTTTTTTTTTTTTTGAGACGGAGTCTGGCTCCGTTGCCCAGGCTGGAGTGCAGTGGCGCGATTTCGGCTCACTGCAAGCTCAGCCTCCCGGGTTCACGCCATTCTCCTGCCTCAGCCTCCCAAGTAGCTGGGCCTACAGGCGCCCGTGACCACGCCCGGCTAATTTTTTGTATTTTTAGTAGAGATGGGGTTTCACCATGTTAGCCAGGATAGTCTCCATCTCCTGACCTCGCGATCTGCCCGCCTCGGCCTCCCAAATCTACTCTTTTTTATATTTCTCTGCTCTTATTCACACTTGAACCCTATCTAATCAGTGTCTTATCACTACCACATTCCTGAAACCACACTGTCAATGACCAAATCACTAAATCCAATGGTCAATTTTCCATACTCATGTTGCTTGAATTATCAGCAACATTTTTGTTTCTTTTTGGAGACAAGATCTTGCTCTGTCACTCAGGCTGGAGGGCAGTGGCTCACTGTAGCTTCAACCTCCTGGATTCAAATGGTCCTTCCACCTCAGCCTCCCAAGTAGCAGCAGCATTTCATACAGTTGATGACTCTCTCCTTGTTGACAAAAATATCCTCATTGTATTTTCAGTTGACAACACTCTCCAGGTTTTCCTTCTACCTAGTTTCTTAATCTCCTTTGCAGGTACTTCATACTGTCTAATCTCTAAACCTTGGGGTAAAAAGGGTTCAGGACTCAGGTGTACATTTTTTCTCTATCTAAACTCACTCCATCTCTTAATAACATCATCTAGGTCGAGGCCGACGTCGCTTCCGGAGCAGCATGGCGGCCACTGAGGAGGAGAGGCTAGCAGGGAGCGGTGAGGGAGAGCGGCTGGATTTCTTGCGGGATCTGCACGTGCGATTTTTCCAGCGCTGCCTCGAGGTTTTGCCGGAGCGCTGTTCTTCACTTGAGACAAGCAGGTCTTTCCCACAGAAGACAGATCAAATCTAAATCGCTGTGGTTTCCGAGGCTCTTCATACCTGGGTATTCTTTTCAATCCATCAAAGGCTCCTGGAACAGCTCATCCTTATGATAGTGGCCACATTGCAATGACCTACACTGGCCTTTCATGCTTACTTATTCTTGGAGACGACTTAAGCCGAGTAAATAAAGAAGCTTGCTTAGCAGGCTTGAGAGCCCTTCAGCTGGAAGATGGGAGTTTTTGTGCAGTACCTGAAGGCAGTGAAAATGACATGCGATTTTTGTACTGTACTTCCTGTATTTGCTATATGCTCAACAACCGGTCAGGCATGGATATGAAAAAAGCCATCTCCTATATTAGAAGAAGTATGTCCTATGACAATGGACTGGCACAGGGAGCTGGACTTGAATCTCATGGAGGGTCTACTTTTTGTGCCATTGCCTCACTATGTCTGATGGGTAAACTAGAAGAAGTTTTTTCAGAAAAAGAATTGAACAGGATAAAGAGGTGGTGTATGAGGCAACAAAATAGTTATCGTGGAAGACCTAATAAGCCTGTAGACACCGGTTATTCTTTTTGGGTGGGAGCAACTCTAAAGCTTCTAAAAATTTTCCAATACACTAACTTTGAGAAAAATAGAAATTACATCTTATCAACTCAAGATCGCCTTGTAGGGGGATTTGCCAAGTGGCCAGTAATCCAGGTGCTTTGCATGCATACTTTGGGATCTGTGGCCTGTCACTAATGGAGGAAAGTGGAATTTGTTAAGTTCATCTTGCTCTGAATGTAAGCACACAGACTTCTGAACGCCTTCTAGATCTCCATCAAAGCTGGAAAACCAAGGACTCTTAAACAATGCTCAGAGAATGTACATATCTCTACATGACTGACTTTAGATTGGGAAGGTGGGGGGATTTGTAGCATAACTGTAGCTCAAGTTTAAAAGCCATGTATAACCAAGTGTGCTCTTTTTTTAAAAGGTAGAGTCTTACAATCAAATCTCCTGCTGATGTCACTTTGGGGTATGGTCTTGAGCCAGTAATCTTTGTACTGGGTTTCAAGAAAATCTTTGTTGAAGTTTGAACCACAACTTTGTCATGGTTCTTAAATGTTTATACTGTATTTCAAAGAAGTTGTTTGAGGCAAATTAAGTGTATGTGTGTAGGTTATCTTTTTAAAAACTCTTCAGTGCAAATTGTATCTTGTTATAAAATGGACACAAATCTGCAAAACAAATTTACACTTCATATAGCATTGATAATCTTCAGGTGAACAGTTAGTAATCATTTAAAAAGCTCACTGCTGATGGTAGAAAATTTGCCTTAATGAATTAAGTATCTGGGATTATTCTTTGAAAACAGATGACCATAATTTTTTTTTAAAGCAGAGTGACTTATTTTGTCTTATTTTTAAGTAAAGTGTGCCAATTAAACCTGTGTGGCCTATATAAATGAAATTAATAACTTCATAGTTAGAATAGATAGGTTTAACTAATGTGATAGTTTTCTAAAAGGAGATTGTTTGAAGACAACTATTATGTAACTGAGGGAAAAGCAACTTAACTATATGTGATTGTGAATGAGGAAGTTTTGTGTTATGTGGGTCATTTATTTAGACATTGCTGTGGTGAATACCAGTTATGTTTGATTTTATTCTCAAATCATTAGTTGCCTTATTTTTGGCTTTCTAGAAAAAAAACAATCTTTTCTATGTAGAAGGAAAGATACTTCGTGTTTTTATTTTTAGCCATTTGAATTTTTTAATTTGTTGCCCCCAGTGTGTTAGCTGCTCTGATTTCAAACTAATACTTTTCTAATTTTTTTCAAATTAAATAAGTAAAAAAATACAAAAACAGAACCATTCAAATAGATTCAGTGGTGCAACTCTATACATGGTCATTTTTATTCTCATATTTTCTGGTAAGTGAGAGGGAAATGTAAGCATTTAGAGGGTAAGAACCAGGGTTTTGTTTTTGTTCATTGTTTTGTTTTCTTAAGTCTATGAACTAGCTAATTATAAAGGAGATAGTATAAAAACTCTTCATTCGTAATTAATCAATAACTCATATCCATTACTTGCTCAGTGACATTCAGAACTATGAGTCTAGTACTGAAATAGGGAAAGAAATCTCTTCACTAAAGGAGTTGGGTTTAAGTTAGTCTTGGTGATAATAAACGTTGAAATACAAACATCAGTATAAAAACTAGATTACTGGTATCACTGTTTAGGCATTGTAATATTTTAAATGTTATCTTTTTTTCTAAATTAGAGAAAAAAATGTTGTAAAATAACAGTCCTTCCCAAGGGAAACACTATGTACTTGGAGAAATGATTCATTTATTATTGGCATGCTTAGTTTTAAACCTGAGTTTGCCAAAGTCAACTGTATGTTGTTTAATTAGAAATAAAATAAATCTTCTGATGGTGGGGGAAAAAATAAGCCTAATAACAGATGTTATCCTTCTGTGGGTTATTCCAGTTGCTACTATTTAAATCATGGCAGATTAAGACATCCATATCTCAAACTAAGTCATCTCTTAGACATTGGAAGCTGAAGTAGCATATACATAATGGCTTTAGGACTATATAAAAAGCCCAAACTGTTTTTTCTATATCACCAAGAAAGGTTAGAAGGTAATAAAGGTAGTAACAGTGACTGTATTCATGAATGTAAGTTAGAGAAAAATTCCAATCTAAAAGTATTTCAGAAGGCTAAACATTTTCTAACTCCTTATAATTTAATACCATAAGATTATAAATTTTAGTAAGCTTCTAATTGATATACTTGTGGGAGACTTTCTTGTGAAACTTTATGGACTAGTAAATGTTCACATTCCACAGCAACTTAATTGACCAGAAAATAGCAGGCCAGTGTGAACTGGGGAGAAACTATTTCTAACTTTTCTACGTAGTTATTTACAAGAAAAATATTTACCGATTAAATAAATTATAAGCAATATGTCACATATATACTTTATTCCTTAGCAGGAGTGATATAATAATGGGAAATATGAAGTCCAAAATCTCAAAAAGCTCTATTTCCTACTCCCTACTCGTCTCCTTCCTGCCCCCTAATTTTGTGGTATTTTTTTTTAGAAGGTAGGAGGAGGAGCTTTGTTTTGAGCATCTGCATACAAATAAGATTAATCAGATCATGTGGCATAATTTAACCTGTTTATCATTTCAGTGTTTTTAGATTTGATCTATAATATATATGTTATCAGATCTTTAAATAGTTATTTATATTTAATCTAAATTCATATAGAAATCTTGCTGACAGTGGTATATAATTTGAAAACTGTTGGACCTGATCATTTTTGAGAGACAGTTAATGAGGAGGTGCTCTGGAATCAGATGACCTGGGTTTAAATCCCAGATTTGCCAGTTCAGCAGCAAGATCTTGGACCCTAACTCTCCCATTGATAAAATAAGGAAAATAGGTAAAACCTAACTCACAGGGTTTAGGATTAAATGAGATAATACAGATAAAGCACTTAGGATAGTACCTGGAATACAGCAAATTTCAAATTATAGTTTCTTTATAATGATCATAAAATTATTTTTGTAATTAAAACCTCTCTTCTACAACAGAAAGAGGTCTTAACAGTTTAACCTCAGGGAAAACGGTGACAACAGTGTTGTTTTCTAATCTCCCCATAAAAATACAGAGCAACTAGGATAGCCACAGACACTCTTACAATGCTAGATGACAAGGTATCTCCATGAACTTCAAAATACAACTAAGTGAGGACAAACCACTGACCCACATAGTTTCAGCATCTGTGGAAGGAAGTAGAAGGAAGGCAGCTGGTTTCTGACAGCTCTGCAAACTGGAGAACGACAACACTGCCCACAGTTTCTCACTACAAAGTGTGGCAGGCCAATCTAAGAACAGGCACTGAAACTGGGAAGTGACTACAGAATCCCATTTGCAGATGAATGTTAAAGCAATATGATAAGGTCTGATGATCGCATTAGAGCAGTCTGGGTTTTACACTGTGTACCTCTTGAAGCTTATGAGACAAAGCCCAGCACTGAGGACAAACTTCTAGAATTAGAATCCAAATGGGCAGGATGGGTAAAATAGGACAAAAGAAAGAAGATCTAGATAAGTATTGGGAAGAAAGGTCAAGATACGGAGACACTATATATATGTATTTTCATTATATATATATATATATATATTCTTTTAAATCACTGTGAAAATGGGACCTCTAAGGCTGTGAAGTCATCCTAGAGCCACTCCTCCCTCCTAAAAGTACAGAAAAACTCATTTCAGTTAAGGGGAAAAAAAGAGTAACTGAGCCAGGATTACAGTCAAACTCCATTCAAAGTTGATGAGTTAATGCGTGCAGCACACCAGCATGGCACATGTATACATATGTAACTAACCTGCACATTGTCCACATGTACCCTAAAACTTAAAGTATAATAATAATAAAAAAAGAAAGCTGAGGCTTTAAAAACTGAAAAAAAAAGAAATAAGAGAATAAATAGATCAACATCCTTACAGACAATGAAAGCACACCAGAAATGACCACAAGACAGATAAAAACCTAATATTTGCAAAAAAGTAAAATGCAAATATGACAGGAAATTTATAGTAATTAGTACAATTATCAGTAAAAGTAGGAAAAGGTGAAAATTAACCAAGTACCAAACACTTGGAGTAAAAAGCAAAATAAAGCAGAAGGAAGGAATGAATAAAGATAAAAGCAAAAAATAATTACTAGTAGAAAACCAAAACAAGAGAGGCAATACATCCAAGTTGGTGATAGGTAGTGCGGGGAGTTGAGTGAGATAAACTACCAGCTAACCTATTTAAGAAAAAAAGGAGGAAGCACAAATACAAAAATTTAAATGACAAGGGGGAAATAGTAAAACAGGAAATTTGTTTAAATTGACTACTTTGAGCAATTTTACACAATAAATTCGAAAACTATTTTGAGAAAAATACAAATTGCCATAATTTACTCTAGGTAGATAAAGAAAGTCACAACAAACCAATTACCATAGAAGAAACAAATACTTAAAAGCACCCCCTACCAAAAGAAGCATCAAGCCCAGATTGTTTCAAGGGGATTTCTACCAAACCTTTTAAGATTAAATAATCCTGTTCTTGCTTAAGCAATTCCAGAGACTAAGAAAATAATATTGAACCTCAAAGTGCCAAAAAAAAAAAGAAACTCCTAAATTCATTATTTAAAGTGAATGTAATAGCATTGATTTAAAAACCTGACAAAGATTGTACCAAAAAGAAAATTATAGAGCAATCTCATGAATATTAATAAAAAGTTTTAATGATATATTAGAAAACAATCCAACAGCACTTTCAAAAGGTAATCATGACTAAGTTGGGCTTATTATAAGAATGCAAGGGTAATTCAATACTAGATAATCTGTTCATATTCATCATATTCAGTTAAAAAAATCTTCATCTTTGCAGAAAAGACATGATAGAATTGAGCAATCACTTATGTTAAATATACTAAGTAGAAATCAATGAATAATCCATTAACATTGTACCTCTACCTAAAAGCCAGCATCTTAAATTTCAAATCAAAAGAGACTTTCCAGGTGAAGTCAGGAACAAGACATGCCCACTAACTCCTCTGCTACTTAACAATGTGTTGAGAGTTTTAGCCAATGAAGTTAGACAAAATAAAGACATGAATTGGAAAGGAAGAGGTAAAACTATTTGCAGATATGAATATATATCTAGAAAGCCCAAATGAACTTGTTGAAAAACTAAACAATAAAAGAATTTAGTAAAGTAGCTATTAAATACAATTTACATACAAATATCAGTAGGCTTCACCAGACACAAGTGCATACTTTGATTCCATTTTGATGAATTTCAAAACAGATGGCATTTATGTATGGTGTCAGAAATCAGCACCCCCTTTCAGTCACTACCTGTCTTCCCAAAGGTAAGCATTATCAAAATCACCATCAATTAATTTTGTCTGTTTTTGAATTTTATATGAGTGGAACCCTATAGTATACATTATTTTTCAACTGGCTTTAACTCAGTAGGACTGAAAGAGGGTACAAAGGGACTGTGTGGTGCTGGTAGTGTTATGTTTCATGATCTAGGTGCTGGTTACACAGATGCATTCACCTTATGAATATTTATCAAGCTGTAAATGTATGATTTGTGCACTTTTCTGTGTGTATAATTATGGCTCAATAAAAGTGTTTACTAAAAAAAATCTAGTCCTATGATCTGAAATCTCATTTATAATATAAACCTACCAGTCTGAACATCTCCCTTGAATTCCATACTAATATATCCAATTATCTACCCCACCTTTCTATATGGATGTCCAATACAAGTCTCAATTATAATGTTCAAAATCAAACTCCTCATATTCTTTTTCAAAAAAGCTCCTTCTGTCATCTTTCCCACTTGACTCAAGTGTAATACCCATTCTTCAAATTGCTAAAACTAAAACCCCTTGAGTCATCCTTGATATCTCTTATTCTCTCTTTTGCTATATCTAATCCACGTTGATATCCTCTTTGACTCTCTTTTTTCAATGAATCTCTCATTAATTGCATTATCATACCACATCTCATAACTTTCACCTTTACCACCCTAGCTCAAGCTGTGACTTGTAGTAACCTTGTTTTTTGATAAGCTTTTTAAATAGAAATCCTTCTACCTTTAACATCATAGAGTTTGTTTAGAACATAGTATTCTAGTAATTATGTCAACACCAGCCATATCGCATCACTCTATCTCACTCAGATCAACAGATTTGGTCCCCACAAGCTTTATGACCTAATAGTATATGTATCTATCCCTAATTCACTCTGATCCAACTATGCTGTCTTTATGATGTTTTTGCAAACATGCTATGTACACTCCTGCTTCATGAATTTTGCATTTATTCTTCCCCTTTCCTGGAAAGGTCTTATTCTAGAAACCCGTGTGGCTCAATCCCTGACGTTCTTCAAGTCTCTGCTCAAATGTCACCTCACTAGTGAAGTCTTATCTCACTTCACCATATTAAGTAACACCCTTATTCATCACACTTTATTTATCTGCTCTGCTTTTCCTTATCTGTTCGATTATCATATGATCTACTATATATTTTGCTAATTTCTTTGCTTATCACTTCACACTAGACCTAGAATTGAATACCTATTCTATGAGGGCTATTTTTTTTTTTTTTGCATATGCTGTTTCTGTTCAGACTTAGACCAATATCTACAACACAGGAGATGCTGAATAAAGATGGTTTTGAATAAAAGAGTAAACATTTCATAAAGAATGTATACAAAACCAGAAACACTTGGAAATATGTAATTTTAAAAATGAAATAACAAATCTAAACCAGAACTATTTAGCATATATTGCTTTCTAGTTAGTGTTGGAGTAAAATATTTGAATTTACTTTTTTATTATTTAGTAGATAGAAAAATCACCAGGGCCCAAGCCCACATTAGCTAGTTGGAAAGCAGGACAGAATAGTGCTTAAAAGCACAGACTTAAATAACTTGTGGTTCAGAGAATCAGGCAGTTCCACTTATCAGATAGGTTAACGTGGGCAACTTATCACTGGGTCTCATGATTTTTATCGAAAATATAGAGAAAATATAGTATTTCTTTCATGGCATTATTAAGAGTCTTAAATGTAAAGCACTTAATACATTGCTTAATGCATGGTAAGCTTAAATAATCAATTAGCTACTCTTAGTACCATTACTGATGATAGAGAAAATTTTATATGAAAAAGCTTTCAATGAACTTGGAAGAAATGGAAAAGAGAGACTTAAAATAAGTGTACTACCTGCTTTTCTCCAGGGAAATAAAGAAATTAATGAAGCAATGCCATATAATCAAGAGTCTTTTTTTTAAGTTTTATATTAAGATGACATGGATATTTAGATATCAATTTTTAAAAAATTAGACATAACTAAAAATTATACAAATTATCATACACGTAATCAAATATTTGCCAGCATAGTACTGAATAAGCTGACAAGACATTGTTCAGTAAGAAGATTTTATTTAGAAATTTTGAATTTGAAAATTTATTTTGTTTGCTCAATGACTTAATGTTCTTTTTCCTAGCTCTTGTTATACAAATAAAATAGCCTAAAGTATACATATATATATGTGTGTGTGTGTGTGTGTGTGTGTGTGTGTGTGTATCTATATAAATTATTTGAATGAAACTTTTAGGAAGAGTAACAATAATAAGTTAATAAATATAAGTTAATAAAGATAGATGCTGCTTGTGTTAGATTCAGTATTTTTTTCTTTTTTTCAGTTTTATTAATGTATGGGTGACAAGTAAATATTGTATATATTTGCAGCATACAATGTTATGTTTTGATATATGCATGCATTGTGAAATTATTACCACAATCAAGCTAATTAACATATTCATCACTTCACATACTTTTTTTCGTGGTGAGATTATTTAACACTACTCTCAGCAATTTTCAAGTATACATTTTTTTAACTATAACCACCACTCTGTACAACTCCGGAACTTATTCATGCTTGTATTAGATTTATATTGCTGCTAAAATATGTTACAAAAAGCCTAGCGGCTTAAAGCAACACCTTATTATATCACAGCTCTTTAGGTCAGATGTTGGAGTTGGATTTGCGAATTTCTCTTCTTTGGGTTTCAAAGGATTAAATTTAGCTGTTGGTCAGCAGGGCACTTACAAGAAGGCTCTGGGAAGTAACTGCTTTCAATCTCATTCGGATTGCTGGCAGAATTCAGATTTCTGTTGCAGAGCTGAGACTGCTATTTCCTTCCTGGCTGTCATTGGGATTGCCCTTCCTCCTTAAAGACTCCTCTCTGGTCTGGCACATGTCCTCCTACATCTCAGAGCCAGCATGGTAAATCCTCTTGACATTTGGAATCTGACTTTCCCTTCTGCCGCTTCTCTCTTGCTTCCAGTCAGAGAAATTTCTCTGCATCTAAGGCCTCACGTGATTAGATTGAGGAAGCCAGGATAATACAGAATAGTCTCCCTATCTTGAAGTTTGTAGCCTGAACTATATTTGAAAAATTCCTATTGCCATGTAAAGTTACTTATTCATAGGTTGTGGAAATTAAAGGTTTGGCTATCTTTGGGGAGGCTATAATTAAGCTCATCAATGGGTATGTTTGATCTTGGGGATTTAGAAACCTCCCTAATAGTGATAGGCTTTGTAACAATTACAAAAATATGAAAGCAAAATCAAGAATGAACACTCAGTGATCTATTCTATCATTGATCTGTTGATCTTTTCCTTTCTGTTCTTTTTGTGCTTATCAATCAAATATATTACAAATAACTCTCCCAAAATAATTTTTTGCTATTGACTTTAGAGACATACATATCTTGTTGAATCAAGAGTAAATGAGAGCACTGAAGATTGAGTTTCCAATATATGCATTTTGTATTGTTGATTGCACAGAATATAAATCACTTTGAATGATATAAGAAAAAATTTTCACCAGTAGAATCTATTCTTTCCTCAACAATTGAATATAATGCTGCATTTTCCCCATAGAACAGGTAAAGCAATTTGTGTAAGTTTTAAGATAATGTATTAAAGATTTGGGGGAATTATATGATAAATTTAAAATAATTTCAATTACTCTGCATAATGTTCATTATTAATGAAATTAAGTTAAAATATAAATTGATAGGCTAGTTGAAATATTTTTTCAAAGGTAGAGCTCATATAATTTTTCTTATACATTAATCTACTATTGTAGTTTTATTTTTCATATTACTAAACAAACATTGCAACTTGCTGTGATTTATGTAAGTAGAAATTGGATAAACATTTCCAATACAGTGATAGCTTATCAAGCCTTTTGCAGAGTAGTATTTTCTCAACATTGCCTAAAAACAAACTCATTCAGCTTTCACTGAAATATCACACTGTCTATAATAAGTACTTTAAAAATATTTTCTTTAAAAATCTTGAAATGTTAAATAAAATGGCAATCATATTTTAAAATGCTATAACCAATCTTCAAGTTTTGTTATCTTATTCATTCCATTTATGTATTCGTTTTAACAATATTTCCATACGTAATAAATCACCTTAAAACATCAGATTCTAAAGAATTTTCTCCAAGGAATTACTGTCATAAATGTGATAAGTACTTCTGTTCTATATGGTAAGGAAGGGTTTATTCTGAGCTTCCTTTCTTTGAGAATTCTTCAACCACTCAATGAACAATTTATTCTTTTTATTAAACTTAAATTTTCTATATCTTACTAAGCATCAATTATAAATTACAAGAGAATCCTCTTGAAAGTGCCTTGGTCCAGATCTTGACCTTACTTTGAGGGCTATTTTAGGGGCTGTATTTCAGGAATATACTTGAGCTTATTTGCTCAGTGCATTAATATATAGGACTTTACTTAATAAGAACTGATTAATTTGGTAAGAATTGCTTTGTAAGAATCACTCTTCCTCTTTAGTTGTTTGTTGTTGTTGTAGTTGCATACAGAGATAATACGTTAAAATTCAAGTTAAATTGAAATTCATAAGAAGAAAAAAAATGATGTCTCTGTGTGTGTGTGTGAGTGTGTGTGTATATATATAATTATATGTGTATATATGGGAGCTTCAAGACCAGAAACATAGTTTTTCCTCTGGCAGAACTGAAAAAAAAATATTTTGAATCAGGCCAGATTAGAAATACTCTATCATTTATTTTGCCATTTTTATTTTAAAAATTGAATAATATCTACAACTTCCTCATAGTCCCTATTAATTATACCTCAATAATGTGATATTTGGTACAGTAAGAAAAAATTACATAATTTCAAAGAAAAAAGAAAATGTCAATTTGCATATACTATATAGTATCAATGTGCATCATTTTGAATTGAAAGACTTCTAATTTAAACACATCTCTGTCGCAATCTGATGGAACTTACATCTCAGCAGTCATTTTATCCAAAGCCTAGGTCCTGTTATGATAAAAATAAAAGAGCATTTTACTTATTTATTGTTTTGAGAAGCATATGTATATGTTTATAGAATTTTTATACTATGTTTAAAATTTTGGCAAATAGGTTTTTTTGAATCAAGAATGGGTTGAATTTATTGTCTATTAATTTTTAATAAAATTTACAATTTAAAATTCAGAAAGCTGAAAAGATTCAAAGCTAGTTATGAAGAGCCATAAAAATTCAAATATTCAAATTCATTATAGTTTGGGGAAAATACAGATAATGAGCATGAGGCATCCATCACATCACCTTAAAATTTCTCACTAAAAATAAGTACCTTGTATATAACAAGTTATCAGCACATATTAACTCACAGCATTAAGTTGGTTATGACAATAATTACTATTCATAAAGCAACAACAGTATTATTTGATCTCCATTTTGGAACTTACCCCATGAATCTGGCAGGTCTGGCTACTCCTGTCTATTTCATCCCTGGTGTATCCACCCTCAGTTTTGTACACTTATTCCAGTGCCTACTGGGTCTCTGTACTAGCCATATGAGAGAGGGGTCTTGGATCAATATTTGTTTTAAGCAGGAAGCTTTTCTCATTTAATAGTAAAATTGGAAATTGTTTGATCTTCCAGGTAATAATTTCAACACTATACAATATATTTGATTCAAGTTAATAGAAATCAGGTAGCACACATATTATTGGAATATCAAAAAATCTGACTTAAACATCCAGCTGAAGTTAATCCCATAATCACACAGGGAAATAATCCATTATGTCATGCCTTAAAGTAATTTGGATGATATAACCTTGATATTTTTTAAGGTGATTTCACAATAGATAGAAGATATAAGCCTATATGTGGCCTGCAGTGGTGCATCAGAAAGTACAAATAACAAGACATGCTCCATTTTATGTTTAAAAAGATAGAATTCTGATTTCATCGGGCATGATGGCTTATATTATTTTATACACTATTTAAAGTTTTGTGTATGCAATTTTATTAAATATGACTGCAGATCAATTTCTTTGTTTTTTGTGCTACTTTGGTTAAAATATGAAAAGTTTTTTGAACATTTAAAATCACATACATGTAATAAGTTATCCTGCTGTGTTATCTGTAACAATCAATTTTGTGAAGTAGGAGCCTCTCTCAGCTATTATCTGATCATTTACACAAGATGAAATTATAAATTACCTTAGATCCCCTTGTTCTCACAATTTATCCTGTATTATTTACATACATGGTTGTAATCAAAGTTAAAAATTATGCTACACTATTATATCCTCATGTAGTTTTTTTATTGTAATGAGAACTACAAAGATTAGATCTTCTTGTGTGTGAAAGTTAGAAGAATTAATAGAGAATACTTTAATTAAGTGATCATTGAGAATTTTTTTAAAAATAGTAAATAATCAGACCAAGTAAGTTAGATTAAAAAATCAGATAAATATTACATAAATGCTTAGAGTGCTCTTCAGATAATTTCCTTTTAGATTCTAACCTGAGATTTTTAACTGTAGCTGAAATACGTGGTATGAACTGACATCCATTAATCCATCCATTCATTGATTTTTGAACAACCAATGATAAAATATCTGAAATATGCTGTGTCCTAGTGAGAGGAAACAAAATATAAAAGCAATAATAACAAATCTCGTTTGCTTTGATTAAAATCATTTTTGAACATATGTAAACTTTCATCTTTTTAATATATAGTGTACCCAGATTAAAGGAGTTAAATATTTTTAACACAGATTTTGAGTATTTTTCTATTGCAGTGCTTACCACACTGTAAAAATTGTATTTGTTTTAGGTCTCTATGTACTTAGGAGCTCTTCAAAGACAGGGACTACAGTGAGTAATGATTATTTGCTGGATCAATAATATGTGTTAAATTGATATAAATTAGTTAACTTTAGGATTATAAAAAAAGATTTATCCCAGCACTTTGGGAGGCCGAGGTGGGCGGATCAGGAGGTCAGGAGATCAAGACCATTCTGGCTAACACGGTGAAACTCCGTCTATACTAAAAATACAAATAAATTAGCCGGGCATGGTGGCAGTCGCCTGTAGTCCCAGCTACTCCGGAGGCTGAGGCGGGAGAATGGCGTGAACCCGGGAGGCGGAGCTTGCAGTGAGCCGAGATCGCGCCACTGCACTCCAGCCTGGGCGACAGAGCGAGACTCTGCCTCAAAAAAAAAAAAATCTATCCACTACACATTTTTTTGTTCTTAATACAATCTTCCCGCTGAATACACAATCATATTTACTAACTTCTGCAACCATAAATGCTATATTTTAACATTATAGACTTAGTAGGGTTGTTACTTAAACAGAATACACGACAACATCTTCATGTTCTCTAATCTGCAGACATCTTTTCAGGCTTTTGCAAAATACGTAACTGTTTGGCTCAAAATTTATTATGAATTCAAAAATATTTTAGAATATTGAATATAAATATAGAATATTGAAAAAATATTTTAAATATTAAAGAGGACTGGAGAAAACTCTTCCATTAATTTTTTTTTTTTTTTTTTTTTTTTGAGACGGAGTCTCGCTTTGTCGCCCAGGATGGAGTGCAGCGAGCGGCGCAATCTCGGCTCACTACGACCTCCGCCTCCCTGGTTCAAGCGATTCTCCTGCCTCAGCCTTCTGAGTAGCTGGGACTACAGGTGCCCGCCACCACGCCCGGCTAATTTTTTTTTTGGTATTTTTAGTAGAGACGAGGTTTCACCACGTTGGCCAGGATGGTCTCGATCTCCTGACCTCGTGATCTTCCTGCCTTGGTTTCTCAAAGCGCCGGGATTACAGGCATGAGCCACCGCGCCCAGCCAACTCCTCCATTAATTTTAATGATGAAATTAAAACTGAACCTATTAGTCGTCAGGAATGATTAAACCAAAGTATAAAACAGAATATGTGAGTCCATGCTAATATAAATACGTGTTTAGATAAATTAATTAATGAGGGAGTAGAGGAAAAACCTCCCATTTAGAAGAATTCCAATTAAATTACTTAGTCCACACTAAAGGAGGGAAAGCATAACTCCTCCCACTTCTTAAGTGTGCATTGGTGTAAGAAACTTCTTCCCAAAGAGTATAGTATGGGAAGCGGGAAGAACAGTGACATCACAGTGGAGTAATCTGACAAGCGCTATTTCATCCAGGAGATCAAGGTCAACATTAATAGTCATAAATTAAAAAAAAATTAAAAAGTCATAAATTATATTGGTAGTATGTACCATTGATAAAATGTAAGGAAAATAGCAAATTCCCTCTGTAATATACCTCCCCCAAACACTAGTCTTATCAATAGGAAAAACACCAACAAATCCCAACACAGGGTATGTATTCTATAATATCTGACTAGCATGCCTCAATACTATCAAGGTCATCAAAAACAAAGTCTAAGAAATTGTCATAGCCATGAGAAGCCCAAAGAGTTATGACAACTAAATGTAACATAGTGTCCTGGATGCCACCATGGTATAGGTGGAAGACATTACATAAAAACTAAGGAAATATGAATAAACTATGGATTTCAGTTCATAATAATGCATCAGTATTTATTATCTAATTTTAACAAATATGCCATGCTAATGGAAAAATGCTACTAATAGGTGAACCTGTATGCCGGGGTCATATGGGGATTTTCTGTACAATCTCCCCTATTTTTCTGTAAATCTAAATTTTTTCTATTAAAATGTCTATTAATAAAAAGAACTTAACCAAAGAGTTAAATATGAATGTGATTATATGCAAGTCTGAAGGGCATAACAGCATGAGGGCATAGAGAGAATGCAAATTACACAGTCCAGAGGATTTGACAAGAAGTCTTCTTGCTTTGCAATAAGCTGCTTTTGCACACTTAGATAGTCATTTAAGCCTCTTTTCCCTGGTTTTCTATGAAGTAAATGAACAGGACTACAAGAGTTCTGAGGCCCCAGTGAGCTCTGTTGTCCATTGATTTACCTGCAAAATGATGTCACCCTCAGAGAGATTACAATCTATTTGAGAAAGTAAACTTGCTAACATTGAAACAAATCAAAACATATTTAGGAACATAGTTCAAGGCTAGGATCATATTCTGTGTAGTTCATATTCTCAGGATTTCAGAGAAACTAAGCAGCATTACAAAATAATTAAGAAATGAGGGAGACTAAAGGACCATTTTGAAAAACTGGAAAATATGCATGAAGAAGTGAAGGACACCTGCATATCCCAAATAATTGGAATCTGACTCTTACATCAAATTCTCCTTTTGCTTCAGTTTTAGGTTTTGAATGGGGTAAAATATTCCTTCAAATCCCTCTGTGCTTTACCATCACATATACACGAAACCCAAGTGCCTTACATGGCGTATCCCACCTTCCTTGACCTTGTCCTTGTTAGTTCTGCAAACACATGTCATGCCACTTGTAAAGTGATCTGCATTAGCACAGTCCTGAGCTGTCTTGAGTCTCCTGTACAGACTGCAGTTTTAAATACCCTTATAGTTTTGAAAATCCTTTTCCTTCCTCTATAATTCCTTTCCTTATTCATGTGCCTTTCCTGGCATACTTTGTTTTTTTTTTTCAGCTTCAGCTTTTCCAGATGTCATCTCATTCAGATTTCTATCAAGAAGACTGATAGAAATGAATTTGAGAAAAATCTGAATGAGATGACATCGTTTAGCTTTTCACATTTCTATGGCAATATGTTTCTCATTGCCTTCAACATGGCAAACACTGGCTACTTTATTCTCTCCATTTGAGGAGAGAGACCATGTCATATTAGTCTTTGCAACTAAATTAATATCTAGCAAATAATGATGGTGGTGATGATGATGATAGTGATGATTGACCATGACTTCTCTTATTGGGTGCCTGTTTTGTATCATGTACTGCATTTAGGTGTTGCATTTCAATCAGAATGTCAGAACCTAAGTTTATCTTGTTTTACTTGTCTAACTAATACATATGTTTATCTAATAAATATTTTTATAGTTTGAGGAAGTTAATTATACAAAGTCTTATTTAAATAATAGAGAAGTAATAGGAGTTTAGGAGGGACAAGGTGAAAGTCGATGAACTAAGATACGCTTCTTTGGTAGAATTATGGATAAATGTCCTAGATAAACTTAGAGATTCCCCCTCTCTATCATGCTTTGATATATCCATAATATATATTTTAAAGTTTTGTGTCTTTCAATTCCCCACGTTATTTGTCATTTCTGGAACCATATCATACAAAAATCAGCAAATAAATATTAAATGAATACCTTTTCCATTTTCTCCCTTGCATTCTTCTCCCTCAAAGATTATGCTTCCATTGACCTTTCATTTCCTATGACCTACAAGTCAGATGCAACTATATCTAGTTTGTATCTCAAATTCCTTTTTAATGGTGACATTTGAGGAGTTAGGTAAGAGAGTTTAGTTGTCCTTAAGTTAATAAAACTCTTTTTTTCTTTGTGCACAAAAGAAAGACAGAAATGTCACTGATAATATTTCTTATATTGATTTCAGAGGGACAATACTTCTTAGCTTAATCCATGGAAAGAAACATATTTGTACAAAGAAAAACATTATATTAGAGACGGGGTTTCGCCATGTTGGCCAGGCTGGTCTCAAACTCCTGACCTCAGGTCATCCACCCGCCTTGGCCTCCCAAAGTGCTGGGATTACAGGTGTGAGCCACCACGCCCGGCCTATATTCATATTTCTATTCACAATATCTCCTACACAGTGTTTTCCTGTTCTGTGGCGAGAAATCAGGCAGATAGCAGAAGACACAGGTCAGATCTCAGGAAGAGTTTCTATGGCCTCCAAACAAGCATTTATTGATTACAGATGTACGGGTGAATATTACGAATATGGGGAGATGTCCCACAAGGTTAGCTCCTATGCTACCTAATGCACCAGGCAGCTTGTCCATAACTTAGTTTAAATATATCTGTCAGGCTCCATGCCCATTTGCTGTAAAAGCAAGATTACTGAGGTAATCTTAGATTTTAAAATGGAAAACTGGGCCTCACAAAAGCAGTTGGGAAAATTACCTGGAGATTGTTTCTAAGGCAGTGCCCAACTGTACCAAGCAAAGGACAACAAGTACAAAGTCAGAGCTTCATTAACTTGATGATTGATTCATTCACTTACTTAATGCAAGACTTCAGGGGAAGAAGAGTCGCTGAGTGGAGGAGACTGGAAACAATGCATTATGAAACGCCCATGGTCTCTGGATACCCATCCAGCCAGTCCCCACCCTCCTAGGGTCTGGTCTCGACCATCTCATCATGTGTTTTGAGGGTGCGTTTTCCTACCAGTTGTTTTTTTGTCTGCTGTTTTTTTGTATTTGAGACAGGTTCTCCTCTCGCCCAGGCTGGAGTGCAGTGGTGCGATCTCGGCTCACTATAGCCTCAACCTTCCGGGCTGGGCGATGCTGGTGCCTCAGCCTCCCGACTAGCTGGGACCACAGGCGCGGGCCACCACACTCGGCTAATTTTTGTATTTTTAGTAGAGAAGGGGTTTCGCCAGGGTGCCCACGCTGTTCTCGAATTACTGGGCTCAAGTGATCTGCCTGCCTCAGCCTCCCAAAGTGCCGGGATTACAGGCATGAGCCACCAGCAACACGCCCAGATTCTTCTACACCCTTAATTGGGAGATAAGGCTTCTGCTTGCAGGCTGTGCGTTCTTCCAACCGGCCGCACCTTTGCTGTGGACTAAACAGGAACCACTGGATTAGAGTCCTCTGGCTCTCTGCCCTGCAGGAGATTTTAATCAAAAATTCTAGGCCTAAGGGAAAAGCAGGGTTAGGCTGAAAATGCACACAGGGCTCCCGTAAATTTCTTTTCATAAACCACCCGCCCAGGGCATTAAATAGGGTACTTAGTTGATCCGAACCCTCCAGGGAGACCTCCGACCCTTCTCTTCGTAGCCCCCAGCTCCCCTCCCCCGGTTCCACTGAGGCAAGGGGACTGAGCTGCTCCACATGCCAGGAGTCAGCAAGCCGGAAGGCCCCGCCCAGCGGCTGGCGCAGCCAATCGCAGAGCGGGCAAGCGGTGGGGGCGGGCCTGCCTGGGCGGCAAGGGGGCAGGGGGGTCTAGGGGCTTTAGAGGTCAGTTAGCTGCTTTCGGGCGGCCTTAGGCGACAGGAGACTCCTGGACCCAGCACCTGCCCACTGTGCCTGTCCACCTGTGGCTACAGCAGCTGAGACCCCAGTGGGCTAAGATTGGACAGGGGCCACCAGGGACCCAGCAAGTCCTTCAGCTCTGTGAGTGAGGGATTTTCGGGAGTGCCAGGCCGCAGTATTCCCAGGGCTGGTGGGGTGGGACAGGGAGGCTCGACCCCGGCAAGTCAGGCAGAGGCGCCCCTTGCTCCCTGCAACATCGCCCACGTCCTGGGGCCACAGTGAGCATGAGCGGAGGGCGGGAGCAAGAGCCAGGGGACCTGGCCTGGGTCCCCAGCCCAAAGCCTGGGAAGCTGCCTACCCCTGTGTGGGCGCGGACACTGGGGACTCTGGCGTCCGGTGGTTCGGCCACCTGATTCAGTTTATGCTCTGCGAGGGGAGTTGGAGAGTTGGCAGGACTGGCCCACCTGCAGGACTGCAGGACCGCGGGAACGGCGGTAGATAGGTGCTCTCCTTCCCAGTTTGTCCTGGGAAGACATTCAAGAACTGTTTCATTACAAGGGGCATTTGGAAAACATACTTCACCTTCTGCTGTGTATTAGCCAAGAACAAGGTGTGACGTGACTTCCCAATTATTGGGGATCCCTTTGTCCCTTCTTGAAATTAGATGTCTTCATTCTTGAGGTTTTGCCTGGATGACCTCAGCACAATTGGTACAAAACCTGGGCCAACGGTTTCCTAGTTTCCTGGTTGTTGCCTTAAGCTTCTCGCCCATCAGGTACCTTCCTGCCCTTTTCATAGCCTGTCATCATCATCCCAGAAAACTGTTTCAACTCCTACAGCTCTGGACAGGCTGCTTTTCATTTTGGTGGGTCCCTCCAATACCTCCACTTGCCCTGTTTTTCTCCAGCCACATCCTTGGCCTCTTCCACAGTCCTTAGGTAAATGCTTGGAAGAATAATTTAAATATTTTTATTCTACCATGGTGGCTCTAGTTTCTCAGGGCATAGTAAAATGGCTTTTTAGGATCGGTCTAATCAGATCCTCATTTCTTTTCCCTTCCTAGATTTTTGAAACATGAATCCTTCACTCCTCCTGGCTGCCTTTTGCCTGGGAATTGCCTCAGCTGCTCTAACACGTGACCACAGTTTAGACGCACAATGGACCAAGTGGAAGGCAAAGCACAAGAGATTATATGGCATGGTTGGTGGCATCTGAAACTGTCCAGGGGAACCCCAGAGAGATGGGCATTGCTATTGGGATCGTATGGCCAGAAAGTGGCTTCTAGAGGCTGGCTCCTACCAATAACCTAACGCAATAACTTAATAGCACTGATTATGAGCACGATATGGGCATACACCCTTGTTGTGTCTCAGCTTGGAGAACATCTCCTAGAAGTGTCAAGCCTTCCCTGGCCATGGTTACTCTTACATCCCTGTCTGAAGATTCACTTGGTTAGCATATGTTGGGTTTTAATTAGAAATAAATAGCATCGGCGGGGCACGGTGGCTCACGCCTGTAATACCAGCACTTCGGGAGGCCAAGGCAGGTGGATCACAAAGTCAGGAGATTGAGACCATCCTGGCTAACATGGTGAAACCCCGTCTCTACTAAAAAAAAAATACAAAAAGTTAGCATGGTGGCAGGCGCCTGTAGTTCCAGCTACTCGGGAGACTGAGGCAAGAGAATGGCATGAACCCGGGAGGCAGAGCTTGCAGTGAGCTGAGATCGTGCCACTGCACTCCAGCCTGGGAGACAGAGCAAGACTCCGTCTCAAAAAAAAAAAAAAGAAATGAAGAGCATCAGTTACATGTTTGCCTTTAGAATGGAGAAGGATGGAGGAGAGCAGTGTGAGAGAAGGACGTGAAGATGATTGAGCAGCACAATCAGGAATACAGCCAAGGGAAACACAGCTTCACAATGGCCATGAACGCCTTTGGAGACATGGTAAGTATGCTGTGGGCTGCCCAGCTCTGTGCTTCCCCTCCTCAGTTCTTTACCAAATTAATCTCTTGCTTCTTAACATTTTATTTACTTTTCTTTGAAGACCAATGAAGAATTCAGGCAGGTGATGAATGGTTTTCAATACCAGAAGCACAGGAAGGGGAAACAGTTCCAGGAACGCCTGCTTCCTGAGATCCCCACATCTGTGGACTGGAGAGAGAAAGGCTACATGACTCCTGTGAAGGATCAGGTGAGACTGTGTTAGGTTCAGACCTCCCATCACCCCAGGAAAGCCAAGAAGCAATTGACATTTGTGCTATGGTAGACTGTGCAGCAACATGCAGTTCACTTTTTAAAGGAGTATTTAGCTACATGAGCTAAATACTCATGTTGTTAAAAGTCTTGCTCTGTGTGTGTGTGTGTGTGTGTGTGTGTGTGTGTGGATATCAGCTTTTTTATTCTCTTTTCAGGGTCAGTGTGGCTCTTGTTGGGCTTTTAGTGCAACTGGTGCTCTGGAAGGGCAGATGTTCTGGAAAACAGGCAAACTTATCTCACTGAATGAGCAGAATCTGGTAGACTGCTCTGGGCCTCAAGGCAATGAGGGCTGCAATGGTGGCTTCATGGATAATCCCTTCCGGTATGTTCAGGAGAACGGAGGCCTGGACTCTGAGGCATCCTATCCATATGAAGGAAAGGTAAATGGAGCTCCTTTTCTTGCTGCCATTCCTGCTTGGTTTTACTGGGACACTTTCAGAGATAACAGACACTTTTCAGAATTCACGTTTTAGATGGTGGAATCTCTATCTGCAAAGTGACAGTGTTGTCATTATAAATTATAGCCTTTGCACAGTTCTGTGATTACATGGTTAGCATGCAGCTGTTCTTGCTTCTATGTGACATGGAGAATATACAAACCATTCTACATATAATACAGATGTCTCCATTGTGAAAAATGTCTTACGGAAAGTAAACCTAGGGGTCTCGCTGAAGAGAACTGAGCTAATTTTCAGTTTCAAATTAACTATTAATAATAACATTTCACTTCCTTGGGTGATGTGTAACAGTGTTGACTTGGAAATTCTATGCTGCAAACTGCTGAGTGTTGTGGTTCTGACTCACATTCCCCAGGAGAAGGATGGTAGTAATCAAGTCGCCTCCCTCTTCACCTTTAAAAGGTTAAAACCTGTAGGTACAATCCCAAGTATTCTGCTGCTAATGACACTGGCTTTGTGGACATCCCTTCACAGGAGAAGGACCTGGCGAAGGCAGTGGCAACTGTGGGGCCCATCTCTGTTGCTGCTGGTGCAAGCCATGTCTCCTTCCAGTTCTATAAAAAAGGTAAGCATCTTTCTTCATAGAAATTATTGCAGAAAAAAAGTAAACCACCATGACACACCAGCATGATGGACTCTATACACGCAATAATCATACCCAATGCTTCTATTTGATATTACATTGAGCGTATCTCCATGAATACCTGTACTTCATAACTTTTTATAAATAGCTATGTTATTTATAGTATAGTTTAATTTACTTAAATATTGTCTAATTGTTGTATTCTTATAATTTTTCCAAAGATTTTTACTTCTGTGATTAAATCTGAAAAGAGCCTTTTGAGTCAAGGATTTTGGTGTTCTGTGCTATTTTTAAGATTGATATTCTAGAGTAGAATTACAAGCTTAAAATGAGCGGTCTTTTATGCCTGTAGGAAAGTTTTTTTATGAGGGACTTATGCTAATTTCTATTTCTGCTAGTTGTGGATGAGAGCCTAATTCCCTAGCCTTGATAACAATAGATCTTGTTAAGCCCAATCTGGACTGTGTGTCATTTCACTGATTTTAGAGATGCCTCCCTCCCTGTGGGTGACAGGGTGGGTTACCGTCAGGTGTCCTTGGGAACTTCTCACCCAGCCTTCATTTTATTCTCTCAGGAATTTATTTTGAGCCACGCTGTGACCCCGAAGGTCTGGATCATGCTATGCTGCTGGTTGGCTACAGCTATGAAGGAGCAGACTCAGATAACAATAAATATTGGCTGGTGAAGAACAGGTATAAATTGCCAGAAAGACTTATAGTTGAAACTCAAAAGGGAATCCTTTTTTGCAATCAGTATTTACATACCACAAGCCCTTAATCACATTTCTGAAATCCCAGAAGTCTTTTTCCCCCTTAGGCAGAACACAGAATATTAATGATTGATTGTAACGTCAAGATACTGTCACAAGCATGCTGGGGATATTAATATGGTATTTGTCCCATTGCATGTCTAAATTCTGAACATTTTCTTAATTCTGAAGTATATCGGCTGGAAAGACATCCTATCCTTTTTCTGTTTCTGATTTTGCAGTTCTGTGAAAGGTCACAGTTTTGGGTCTGGGATTGAAGGGATATGCAGGTTTTGACTCAAGAATTTACAAGGGATGAACAGGAACATCAGCATCTCCTGATTCTTTATGTTAAGCCTGTGGCTTCTGGCACACTGTGGCTTCTGGCACACTGTTTAAGTTAATAACCCAATGTGCTTTATCCTTCCTCTGAAATGGAAAACCTGCTCTCCTTTCAGCTAGGGTAAAAACTGGGGCATGGATGGCTACATAAAGATGGCCAAAGACCGGAGGAACAACTGTGGAATTGCCACAGCAGCCAGCTACCCCACTGTGTGAGCTGATGGATGGTGATGAGGAAGAACTTGACTGAGGATGGCACATCCAAAGGAGGAATTTATCTTCAATCTACCAGCCCCTGCTGTGTGGAATGCGCACTTCAATCATTGAAGATCCAAGTGTGATTGGAATTCTGATATTTTCACACTGGTAAATGTTACCTGTATTTTAATTACTGCTATAAACATGTTTGTATTATTGATTCACTTACTTTGTATTTTCATTTTAAAAGGATATATACAATTTTACCTGTTTAAATAAACTGTAATTTCAAATATACTGGTGGGGCTTCTTTCTGTTTTGATGCACTGACTTTTTTGTGTAGTTGTATTAGTCTGTTTTCACACTGCTGATAAAGACATACCCAAGACTGGGCAATTTATAAAAGAGATTTAATCGACTCACAGTTCCACGTGGTTGGGGAGGCCTCACAATCATGACAGAAGGTGAAAGGCATGTCTCACATGGCAGCAGAAAAGAGAAGAAAATGAGAGTCAAGCGAAAGGGGTTTCCCCTTATAAAACCATCAGATCTCGTGAGACTTATTCACTATTATGAGAACAGCATGGGAAAGACCTGCCCCCATGATTCAATTACCTCCCATCAGGTTCCTCCCACAACATGTGGGAATTGTGGGAGTTAAAATTCAAGATGAGATTTGGGTGGAACACAGCCAAACCATATCAGTAGTCAAGCATGAAACTGGGCTCTAAGCCATACCTGCTCTACCAGTGGTTCACTAGGAGGAACAGTGGGTGGCCTTCTGGCTCTTCTAGTAACAAATGTGCAGATCTCATGTCAGCTGCCCAGTGGTTGTGTCTGACCCAACTCTTGATTGAAGCAAAATATGACAAACGATCTATAAGGACAAAGGAAAATTGTTTTAATAAAGAAAAAATTCACATTTTTCTTTAAAGTGATCAGACATACATGTAATTTCAATACTGAAAAAGAGCCTTAGAGATCATGTTTATCTCACCCACAATGTTTGCAACCCAGCCAAGTTACAGGGCAAAGCTATCAGGGCCAGTTTCTGGAGCATCTTCCCCAGCTGCTGGTGAAGACCCCATGGCCACTTTGCAGTTGAGGTGAGACAAGGCACTAGTGCGTTGGCAAGGCTGTTTGTCTTTGGGTCCTCAAGGGATGAGGGATAAACTCCAGGGTGTGAGGCTGGGCTTCAGGAATGGTATGCTGGCCTTGGAAGGTGGAAGACAGATAAAAGGACCCAAACTTTGAGTCTGTGGCCACATTCACACCAAGCTACCTGTAAGCACCTGAATTATTTTAACCAACAGAAAAACTTCCCACATTGTATTGGCTAAAAGAGCACATAGTTTAATCACCTGTGTTTTTTCAAAAGTCTCATGTTCCCACTGAAAAAAAATATAAAAGATAGTTAGAAGTGTTTAGTGAATAGACTCCATAATCTTTCAGGAAGAAAACTAGGAGGACAATGGGGTCTCATCCCACAAAGCCTCCAGCAGGCTCCATTTAAGTTCATCTGAACTGGATCATGTGCCATGCTGGACTCTTACGTGCCCTTCCCTAGTCGTTGCTAAAACCATCTTTTCGACATAAAATGACAAAAATGGCAACTGTGAAATTTTATAATAAAAGTAGCCCATGTTAGCAAGAAGATTGGGAAGATTCCCAAGGTAAATCCCTTAACTGTGCAGGTTGGGTCCTAGATTTGATACAGTTAGAATTTATGCAGCACCCAACATATGCAGGTTATCACCATGGTGGAAGAGACAGGCCCTGACCTCAAGGAGCTGGAACTGTTAGGGAAAGGGAGGTAATGAGGGAGGGTTTCCGGGGGGAAGGGAAAGACAATATCAACCAGAGCAGCCAGTCACTAAGGGAAGGTGAAGAGGTGAGCATCTTAGCAGAGACTAGCATGTCAGTAACCCTGAGAAATGACTGCAGTGAGAGACCCTGCAGAGTGATTAGGTCCAGGTGTTGGGTGATGAAGCTTGCTAAGCGGAGTGTTTGAACATAGGGGACCACTGGAGAGTGCAGGAACAGACCGTTCTGGTTCTCCTCTATTACTGTAAAACAAACCACCCAGAAACTCAGTGGCTTTGTAGAAACATCTTTCACTTTTTTCGCCTGGACTTGGCTGTGTGGTTTCACGGGGAGACAGCTGTAGGCTCTATCTGTGCTGGAGACATCTGTAGGGCTTGATGGGACTAGACATCTGCAGGGCTTGACGAGACTAGACATCTGCAAAGCCTCACGCACAGGGCTGGTTGCAGATGCTGGTGTTGGCTGGGCATTTAGCTTGGGCTGTTGACCAGAGCACCTGCCTGGGGCCTCTCCATGGCTTGGGCTTCTCACAGCATCAACGTTGGGAAAAATATATACATATACCTTGGCAAACTTTAAACACTGAATTGCACAGGTGTTTATGTTCATCTTTATTATTAAATAAATTAACAAAAAAAGTATTATGAGGAGATTTGGTCTCTTTTCTCCAGTAATACAGTTTTAAAATCTCATAATTAACATAATTAAAGCTTTTTATACTTATACTTTCAGTAAGTATTTATTAGTCATTTTTATTTATTTATTTACTTTTTTTGAGATGAGGTTTGGCTCTTGTTGCCCAGGCTGGTGTGCAATGGCACGATCTCAGCTCACTGCAACCTCTGCCTTCCGGGTTCAAATGATTCTCCTGCCTCAGCCTCCCGAGTAACTGGAATTACAGGCATGTGCCACCATGCCCAGCTAATTTTGTATTTTTAGTAGAGATGGGGTTTCTCCATGTTGGTCAGGCTGGTCTTGAACTCCCAACCTCAGGTGATCCACCCGCCTTGGTTATAATCTAACCTAATTAAAATCTTTTTAAAAGCAGGACAAAAAATTCAACATTTTGTAAGATTATAGCTACGTTAAAATATGTCTAGAAAATACAGCCAGAGGAAATAAAAACTTTCATTGCCTCAAATTTCCGCAAAGCCAAGGGGCACCGCCCATTGCCAGGGAGGGTGAGCCCTGGAAGCACAGAGGTTGCTGACTCCCAGCCCAGCAGCAGCTGGACGCTCAGCCCCCAGTGCCTGGTTTCTCCTTGCACGTGAATCCAGGTCCCAGCATCTTGTCATTGACAGGAGCAGCCCTGGCTCACCCTCTTGGAAAACAGAAAGATGCTCATGGAGGCTGGCTGTGAGGCAACCTGAGGGCTCTGAAGACCTCCTGTGGGGCTCACACTGGGGCCAGAGCCTCAGCCTCTGACACCCGAGAATGGAGTAGGCAGGATGGGTGGGGCAGAGAAGAAGAAAGTTCTCTGGATGTCCTGGTTAGTCACCCTGACCCTGGGAAATGCACACTCACGGCTGAATCAGGGAGAATCAAGTCTCTTGGCCAGAAAAACAAGCCATTATGGCCAGCGAAGCGCTCACTAAGCACACACAAATACACATATATGTGCACCCACAAACACATAGAATTACACACATGCTCAATACACACATAGGTACATGCACACTAACTCATTACACATATGAGCATGTATGCACACAACACACCTATACACATACACTTATGTACAGATGCCCAAATACACACATACTCACACCCTTACACAATACGCATGTATATACATGTAGTCCTGACACACATTCACACACATGTGCACACACACCTACATACACACCACAGTATAATACACTTAGTAGAGTAGTATCGGGGGGCCTCAGTTGTGGTCAGATGGCCTGACACTTAGTCTGAATTGTTAATCATTGAACTGTGTAATTTTGTCTAAATCTTTTCATCTCTGCTTCCAGCCCCCAAAAGAGTGCAGTTGACTCAAATCATCTGGAAGTTCTCTTTAGTTGTAAAATTCTGTTATTTCAATGGAAAAAGACGGTATCATCCACCCAGAGCTCACCTGAGCTCCTTCTCTGTACCCTGAGGAGGATCCTGGGGGCTGGAGTCACAGCATAGGGTGCTTTGGAGGCCATCCTCACCCAGCGCCAGCCCCAAGAGTGTTGCCACCAGGGATAGCCCAGCATCTCCACAGACCTCTGCTGTGGGCATTCCTGTGACTTCTTCCCTGCCCCTCCTCCCCATGCCTACGCACTTCTTCCCTCCTTTCTGATCAAGAATATGCCTTGGGAGCAAGTAGGCAGGAACCAGCAATCTTCTGAGGCCCAGCGCTTCCAGAAAGAGGTCGGCAGCTGTCTGTCCTGGGGACATTTCCTGGTGGAGGTGGAAGGGGGCTCACTGCTCCTTAACATGCTCTTTCAAGAGTGCCTCCCTGGTTTACTCTTTCTGGCCAGGGTATTCATTTGGAGCAGACAAGCCTGTTCCCTGTCCCAACTCAACATCTGGAAGTTGCTGGGGCATGGGCTCCAGGTGTTGTTTGGAGCCTCTCATCAGCATGTGACTTTTGGTTGTGATGATAAAGTCTGACCGCACCTCAGGTTGTCACCCAAAGCTCAGCTACAATCTCTACAAATTACCCCTGAAAGCAAATTTCTCAGGCAACTGTGGAGCTCAGCCCGTGGCCTGGTAGGTGAGCCAGGATGTGGCCCTCACTGGGCATTTCATACCTGTGGCCAGCACAGGGCTGGCACCATAGTGGTACCCAACAGCCCCTTGTTGGAAGAATGAATTTGAGCACCCCACTCCTCATGAACAGCTTGGCCTGATTAAGTTCTCAAGAATCCAAAGGCCTGCAAACACTATGACATCCTCCCACATATGAATTCAAACTGAACAAAAACACTGAAAACTTAAAAAAAAAAAAAAAAAAAAAGGAAAAAAAAGAAAATGAGCCAAGGAACAATCACTTCTTCCCATTAGGAAGACCACTTTGTACTTTGTAGGTGGTTATTTTGGAAATAACAATCTTTCACTTTTCTTATCCCCCATTTCTCTAGGGGCCTCTGCTTTGCTGGGCTGCTCTAAATACAATGGGTAGTCCTGTACTTCACTCTGCCAGATTTATTGTTACCTGGACATTTTTAGGTGCCAGCTTTATCTCTTTATTTTTATTTTCAAAGTGTGGTAAAACATAAATAACATAAAATTGATCATTTTAACCATCTTGAACTGCACAGATTGGCGGCATTAAATACATTCACATTTTTATGGAACCAACACCACCATCCATCCATGAATACTTTCATCCTGCAAAACAGAAACCATCTTTTTACTCCCCTAGCAACCATGCCCTCCTCTCTAGCTTATATTTATTTTATGCTACATAGAATATCCTAGAAGCAGAGAATCTGAGCAGTGGAGAGCACCTGGTAAGGTTATCTCTTCCAAACACCTGCCCTTCAGCAAAACCACACGTGGGGTAGACTGAGCCAGGCAGAATCAACCTTGTTTTTAAATGTACAAAGCTAGGCCTTCTTTGGAAGTCACGTATTTGAAATATCAAGTTGGAAAATTCTTTTTCTAAAGTAAAAATTTTCTTTGTCATTTCCTCAGTTACTCTTTTTCTTTTTCAGATTGAAAATAACCAGTTACTGTCCTCAGGGAATCAACAATTTCATGAGCAGTGACTTCCTGGGAGGCCGTGGTTCTCAAACGTTAGCCGGCCTCAGTGTCAGCTGGAGGGGTTATGAAAGCACAGATCGCTGCACCTAACCCCAGAGTTTTAGATCCCAGGGGTCCAAGGAGGACTCCAGAAGTTGCATTTCCAGCAAATTCCCATGTGATGCTGATGCTGTTGGACTGGGGACCCCATTTTAAGAAATGCTGCTATAAGGCCCAGTGCTAGGAAATCTGAAGGATAGAAATATGCAGGTACCTAAGAGGTGGGAACAAATGGAATTAACAAGGTAAATGGGTTAAACTTCATGTGGAAAGTGCCAAACGCCCTTCACATAAGCCCTTTGCTGTCATAGAGCTCACAAGCTCAGGGTGCGGTGCAGGAGGCTGACGTGAACAGTAGTTTGGGATGTCAGTCTTTCATACCGGGAACTGTGTGGACACTGCAGGGGAGCACAGCGCTCAGGCTGGATGAGGAAGGGGCCGGGGATGGCTTCCTGCAGACCTGGAAGCATCAGGAGCCATTCCTGGGTGGATTCTTAAAGAAAAGAAGGTGTCCAGACAAAGGGGCCGGGCGAGGCACATGCTCTTCCAGCAGAGGAACAACCTGGAACTGAAAAGGGGACATGGAGCATTCACGGGGCAGCAAGCTGTGCAAGTGTCCCCAAGGGGAGCGTGGAAGTGAGGCAGTGAGGACAGAGTGCGGAGGCGGGCAGGGCGAGACCCAGAAGGCATGGTAACACAGGAGGAGGAGCCCAGGTGATATTCTGAAGGCTCCTTTGACATCGAGGACAGAGAAAGCTTTGCTAAGACTCCATATAAGGGGGCATCAGAGAGGAAAGGAGAAGCAGGAACACAGCTCTCTCCAGTCCTCTAGGTCCTCCACTATAGGATAGCCTAGGTGCAGACAAAATTTCCTTTCCTTTTTGTTTTGTTGGAAGATTTTGGAATTGCATGGAGGAAAACTTGTAAAGACACTGGGCAAGCCTAGAACCAAAATGAACACAAACAGGATACAGAAGGTGGGTCTGGAGGTGAACAGAGGAGGCTTCCAACTCCATCTTGTCTTGTGCCGCAGTCTCTGTATTTAAATAGAGACCTAATTCCCTCACAAGACCCACAGGACCTCACAGGGGCTGGCCTCCCTGCTGTTTTCAGCCTGAGCTCACAGGCCCTGGCCCTCACTCTTCCTGCTCCCGCTCCATAAGCCTCTTTCAAACTGGGTTTGCCAGGCTGTCTTCTGCCCCAACCCTTTCCCCAGGTTGTTTCCTCCATCTGGAGTAGTCTTGCCCTCACCTGACTAATTAACTACGTTTAATCTAAGACCCACTCCCTCAGGGCAATCTGATCTACCTGCATAGGTTCAATCTCTACTCTTAGAGGGTTTTAAGCATTGGGTACTTTTACTTGATAGCACTTAGTGGTTGTTATTTGTGTAATTAGTTGTTGAATGTCTCTTCTACTAGAACAGGGGTCAGCAAACCATAGCCAGCTTTGGCCTGAAGCCTGATTTTGTAAATAAAATGTTAATGGAGGAGATCAGGTGCCTACAGGGTCATATTGCTGGAGATGTGGAGTGACCGATCAAGATCAACATATTTTGGTTCATTTGGATGATCGACTTAACAGAGAGCTTCCATATTTTTATCTATTTAACATTTCTTTGGTGCCAGGGCATGACATTTTCTTTGTTATAGAGAAATAATAAAGAAAAAAAAGAATGCACAGGGAGTTAATATGAAATATTGTGTTCTCACCAAGTGAAGGCCAAAAGGCTTCATTACAGGATGTGCAAAGGAAGCCTCTGTGTAACTTACATAGGGACAAGTGGTGGAAGCAGCCAGTTACTGCAAAGCACACTGCCAACAGGCGGGTCTCAGGAGAGTCTGCATGTGGACAGGGGGCGCCACTTCCTCACAGCGGAGGGGAGTGACTGTTCTGCCTTTGTTCCATTATATTAATATTGTCATTTGAATTTTATGAGGTCTCTGCATTTGTTGATCTGCAAGTTTCTTTAGGTTTTATGGTTGCAAGGTATCTACATGCCTACATTCTTTATATCTAGTTTTAAGGTTACATATAATTAATATATATAATACTTAATTAAAAATTAAAATATGTAAGATATATATTATAAAATATATAGACACATGAACAGAGGCAGAGCAACAAGAATAAGGTTTTAATTTACAATCAGGACAGAGAAGAGCCCATCAAAGTAAACAGGCAAGGGGAAGAGGGGCACCTGGAAATAGCAGCGGGCATCCTGCCAGTTCAAAGAATAGAGACCTGGCTGGGGGCTTTGGTCAGCCAGATGAACAGTCAAGCCAGGGAGGGCACAGCTGATGATGACACATGCTGGCTTCTTCTGTCCACAGGGGAGTGCCTCAAATACACTATGGTTCTGACTGGGCTCATCAGCCCCACATCCTCCTCCAACACACACACACACACACATACATACACACACACACACACACACACACACATTGAGGTTTGGGGCCTCTGGCTTTTATAAGGAGAGAGCAGCTTAAATTTAACTTCAATGGACTGAGCCCCTTCCTCCAGGAGCAATGTCCATTCATGGGGACCATATGTGGAGGGAGACTTGCTTCTTATTTGTTCCCCATCATACCACCTGTGTGTACCAGGTGGGCCTTGGGCGCTCTTTCTGAATGGGGACCCTAATTGTGTTCAGTTGCAGCAGTTGTGGTGCCATCCCCCATCGCACAATCTGTTCTGGAGGAGGATGTTGCAGAGGCGCTGCTCCATAAACTGGAGGTGCCTGGAGGAGCCCCGATGGGAAGGCTTGGAAAAACAGGGGCACTGGGGACAGAGGCTTTTCATTGCTGCCCATCAGGGGGCCCCAAGTGTGGGCTGAGGGGTGGGCCTGGAGAATATGAATGTAGCCAGGCAGACGTAAGCCGATGTCTTTCCAGGGTGCCTCTACTGTGCACTGAATTTGGGAAATTAAGAGGGTGCTCACTCTGGAGCTTGGTGAAGATTTGAAAACCACAGCGTTAGTAGTGGAAGTCATGTCCATAGCAAAGAGCTGAGGGCTCAAGGAGGCTGCAAGGTCAGGTGGGCAGATGCCCTTGCTGTGATGGTGGAAATGGCTGCTGTGGAATTCAACTGCTGATGAGTGATAGCAGCGATCCCGGTGGAAGGTGCTGGAAGAGGAGTTGGGGAGGAAAGAGGAGGAGAGGAAAACACATATGGGTGTAGGAGGCTCCCTTCTGAAGGGAAGCTGGAAGGAGAAAGATGTGGGGCTAGGAGGTATGGGGCAGGGCTGAGAGGTCAGAGGTGCTGAAGCTGCAGCTGAATGAGGGCAGCCTCCTTTCTCATTAGGTGGAACCCCCAAAATGGGGGCAAGGTCAGCAGGAAGACCCAGGGGAGAGTTAGGAATTATGGATATCAATTTTTACTCAATTCTTGGTGTGGGCGAAGGTGGAGGGACAGGCAGGGTGAGGGGCCCAGCAGCCATGTGGGCCAAGTCAGAGGTAGGAGGAGGAGCTGGGATCTGTGAAGTGTAGGTGGCCCGGGCAGGGAGTCTCAGCAGGTGTGGAGACAGCAGGGGCAGGCTGGGTGGCACTGCAGTTTGCCATGTCTTCTTTTTTGAGGCGGAATCTCGTTCTGTCGCCAGGCTGGAGTGCAGTGGTGCAATCTCCACTCACTGCAACCTCCACCTCCCGAGTTCAAGTCATTGTCCTGCCTCAGCCTCCTGAGTAGCTGGGACTACAGGCACCAGCCACCATGCCCGGCTAATTTTTGTATTTTCAGTAAAGACGGGGTTTCACCGTGTTGGCCAGGATGGTCTCGATCTCTCGACCTCGTGATCTGCCCGCCTCAGCTTCCCAAAGTGCTCGGATTACGGGTGTGAGCCACCATGCCTGCCCTGCCATGTCTTCTTTATCTTCCCAAGCAGCTGTTTTAGTCTCCTGGATTCTGATGTTCTACTGGTGTTGTTCTTATCCATGTTGCCCAGGAATCCCTCAGGAGATAGGCAGGGAAGCTTAGCAGGTGGGGGCAGGTCATCTCTATTCCACCTCTATTGCCGGGGAGGGGTTGGTGGCAGCAGCAGTGGTGGTCCTGACAGTTTTCTTTCACTGGACCCGTGGCCGGCAGCTCTGGGTGGAGTATAGCTACTTGATGCAAGAGCTTCAGGATCCTTGGGCTGCATCTCCTTCCCCCACATTAGCAAGCCTGGAGAGCTGGGCAGGTGGTCTTTACCCAACACCTTCAAGGCTGCCTTCTCTGGCCACAGGGAGCAGCCTGGAACTGGGAAAGGGATTATTATCCTTAATATTATCCATAATATTCCAAAAGTTCTCAAAAATTGGTAAGAAAAGGCACAACATCCCAATGGGAAAGTGGCACCACACACTCTGGACTGTTTCCGCTGCTCAGTGGCCTGAGTATAAGTGCAGCCAGTGCTTGTCTGCCTCTCCTCTCCCCTGCCTGTGATGCCCCCTCAGAAGGTGTCTCCCCATTTTTTCTATCAGTGCTTCACTGATAGAAAAATGCCGCACTTCCCATGCAAGGCTCTAGTTCCAGACATGCTTCCAGAATTCTCGGGAAACCCCCTCCTCTCCCCTGAAAACCCCGCCCTTGCACATTAGATATCCTGGTTTTCCTGTTGGGGTCCCATTATGGCATCATCAGCAGATGGGGCACAGTCTCCTGAGGCCTGGGGGGAATCTGTCCCAGAAACCAGGGTGTGGGGACTTCTGACTAAATCAAGGGAAGGTTTTCATGGAGAAAGTCAACAAAAAGTGAACATTCTAATTTCAAAAATAGTCTCCTCATTGCACTTCAAATTAAGGGACTTGGAAAAAGGGGAGCAGGGAGCTGGGTGTTTAATGGGTTCAGAGTCTGATACTGGGATGATGAGAAAGTTCTTGAGATGAATTGGCGGTGATGGTGAGAAAACAATGTGAATAAACTTAACGCCAATAAACCCTGCACTCAAAAATGATGAAAATGGTAGTTTCTGTTAAATCTGTTTTACCTCAATAAAAAGTAAATAAAGTTTTGTTCCCAGTGGGCAGGTAAGTAGGGGAAACTCTCTTGCCACCTCTTGGCAAGAACCTGAGAAACAGTTGGGCTCCCCAGCAGTGTGAGCTCTTCTGAGGGCAGTGGTGACAGCCTGAGAGACAGTTGAGTGTAGCAAGGGCAGGTGCAGGTCCCTGGTCCCAGAATGTGAGTGTGGCAAGCCAGCCTCGACTTCTGCCTGCCTAGGAGTCATCCTAGGAGGTAAGCCTGAGTGAGCAGGGGTGAGCTCTGCGTGTCCTGTGTGCAGCAGCAGATTATCTGTCCGCCCGTGCAGAGAGGGGAGAAAGCCATGATGATGGGACCTGGTTTGGCTGAGAATCCCCAAAGGCCCAGGAGCTCCTTAACCTTACATTAAAACACAAAAGAGAGCTCAGCAGAGGCCACCACACCCAGCTAATTTTTGTATGTTTAGTAAAGACAGGGTTTCACCATGTTGGCCAGACTGGTCCCGAACTCCTGACCTCAGGTGATCCACCTGCCTCCGCCTCCCAAAGTGCCGGGATTACAAGCATGAGCCACCATGCCCAGCCTTCATTACCCTTTATTACTCATTTTTTTATTATTGTTTGTCTCTGCCTGTCAACCATTGTGCTCATCACTCACCTGACAAATATCACATCTTGAGTAGATACTTGTAGAATGAATGAATATGATTTTGCTTCAAGACCTAAGGAGTGGAGGCAATGGTGGACTACTAGAACAGGTGTCTCTAAGTGTGTTTGTATAAGACATTCTAGACCTCTAGAATATCTCTTCTACTAGAACTCAGCCTTGATGACCTTATGCCCAGCGATGGAGAGCATTCATGAAGCATTTAAGGAGGCTGGCCTGCAGGGAAGCAGTCTTGGACAAGTTCAACCTGCCCCCATGCCACTTCAACAATCAAAATTTTTATCACTCCTCCTTGCTTCCTTTACTCCTTCAAAAAGCACAGAGTTTTTCATGGGGTTGCACATCGTTCATTTTACAAACACCATTAACATCATTGCATTAAAAATGACATCCTAACCCCAATTAACTAAGAAATACATAATGCAGAATAAGTAGCAGTTTGCCCTAAGACCATTAGCAACATTCAGGGACATATACATTTTCCTCAATTTCTTCATTGTGCTAATGGGCAGTGAAGAGTTGGTGTTTGAGAACTCCTCAGATATTTGGTGTGCTATCAGGGGCATTGCTGAAAGCAGGAATCTTAGCGGCTGGGAGTCACCGTGTGGGCAGAGGAGGAGAGGAGACAGAGACTGTGTGGAGAGGTGAGGCTCTGTGCTGTCAGTGAGGGCTGTTCTCTGCCCCCATCTCTTCCAGTCCCTTTTTATCTCTGCCATCCCAGGAATGATGGAAGTGCCTGAGGAAGACTACCTGGGCTTCCTGATGAGTTACTGGCAGACTGCCTCTGTGGGACAAGAGGGTCACCTGCAAGCCAGACAGTCCAAATCCTCCCTGAAACACATCACTCTCCACTCACTGCTTACCAATTCCCTTCAAGGCTGCTCCAGCTGCACATTTTTAAAAGTTGTTCTATTCAATGAGAAGACATAGACACAGGGAGGGGAACATCACACACCGGGGCCTGTCAGGGGGTCAGGGGGTCAGGGTCAAGGGGAGGGAGAGCATTAGGACAAATACCTAATGCAGGCAGGGCTTAAAACCTAGACGATGGGTTGATAGGTGCAACAAACCACCATGGCCCATGTATACCTATGTAATGAAACGGTACATTCTGCACATGTATCCTGGAACTTTAAAATAAAATAAAAACTTTTTAAAAAGTTGTTCTATTAAGATATGGTCTGTGGTTTGGGAAAACGGTGACTCCTTGTCCTGTTCTTAGAGAAATATTTCATTTTGTAGGGATGACTGGCCCGGGGGCCCAAAATCTCACTGTCAGTCTGCTCTGGTTCTTCAGCAAATGCTTTGAATCAGGGTTGATGGTGGCAAAAATTGGTAGTTAACACCTTCAGCATTGTGGTCCTTCCCTTGCATCACTGGCCAAGCTTCACTCTGGTGAATTCCACATATAAGGCTTGCCCAGCCCTGTCTCATTCTCTTGGATGAGCCACAGCCATGCTACCCACCAGGACCAGGCACTTCCTCTGCACACTCTGTGGATAGCAGTCATTTCCCTGAATCCATGAAAGCATCATCTGCTTAAACCACTATTTCTTAGTGTTGTTTTTTGCAACTTTGAATTCCACAATTTCTGTTTCATTCTCTGCATAAATTGGAGAATACTTGTGAAAATTCCTTATCTTACAGTCCATTTTCTGTAACATTAGTCTTAGCCCTTTTAAAATCCTGGGCCTTGCTCTCTTGAAGTTTTTCTGGGATTGAGGCCAGTGGGATGGCAAAGCTGCTGTCACTGAGGTATGGCCTGGAGAGTCCTTGGGTGTCTGGGGGAGAAGGCAGGGCCACCAGCATGGGAGCCAGGAATAGGGGATGACTCCAGGGGATGAAGCCCAAGGAAGACTCAGCATGTCAGGTGCAGATCAGCGCAGGATGAGGCCCTGAAGTGTGGGTGACCAGCCACTCATAGGGGGAATGAGGCTCTTTGGCCCTATTTCTCATGGGGCTGGTATGTGGGGCCCCAGGTGTCCCTGTGCTCAGAGCCTCAGCTTGCAGGGAGCCCCTGTCAGCCCCTCCATGGGAGTTGGGAGTTACAGGGTGCCATGAGCAGCTCTTCTGGGGGAAGTTCCTTGTCCTGGGATGGGGGCATCCGTCCCTCAGGCCCCACCTGTCCTTTTGGGCTCCAAGCGCAGAAAGTTGCAATCTCGGTCTTCACATGGAGACCAAATGTGTCCCAAGCCAGGCTGCAGCACACACATGAGGGCTTAGGTAAACAGGCCAAAGCCCACTGCTCCCCCTGACAAGGGCAAATGTAACAGAAAACGAAGTGGACAGACTTCAGAGAATGTCAGGGAGCTGCCCCAGAGGTGGAAGCCAGGAATGCGGGACAGCTGGTGCCTGACTGAGGGTGCCCATCACCACAGCCCACGTCCTCGTGCATTTCCACAGGGTAAGTCTGGCTCCAGCATTTGCTCTGGAATAATAGGGCCCCACAGCACTGACGATCATGACCACCTGTCTGCCAGAGAGATGCGAGAGAGACTGAGGAGAAGAGTGCCCTGTGTGATGCTCCCTGGGCCAACTGACAGGAAAGGGCCTCTCGGGCACGCAGGCCCCAGACTCAGCATTTGTATCTGGCTCATGAGCCTGATGACTCTGGGCAGCAGAGTAGCACACGGTGGACGCATGCTCTATATTGAGTTAGGCAGGCCAGGAGCTGACTGCTGACAATTGGCCTGGCCACATCCTTGCACTTCACTGTGCAAGAGTCTCAGGGTGGAGTGAAGTGAGCTCTGAGACCACACCACAGAAAATTCATTGCTGGGAAGACCAAGCATGCCCAGGACAGCTATATAGAATGTGGTTGTTGGGTCCCTCACACCATCTAAAGCAGAGGCTCTTAAATAGCTGGGGTTAGGACACTCCCAAATCTTCACTGAAATTTCCAAGCCCATCACAGACTCCAAATTTTGCTAGATTGCCTGAGGGTCCATGGACTCCTGGACAAGAACACCCTGTACTGGTCAGCAAAGTTGCCATGTGAGAGCCACGAGGTCAGGAATTCAAAACCAGCCTAGCCAAGATGGTGAAACCCCGTCTCTACTAAAAATACAAAAATTAGCCAGGCTTGGTGGCAGGTGCCTGTAATCCCAGTTACTCAGGAGGCTGAGGCAGGAGAATCACTTGAACCTGGGAGGCAGAGGTTGCAGTGAGCCGAGATTGCGCCACTGCACTGCAGCCTGGGTGACAGAGTGAGACTCCATCTCAAAGAAAAAAAAGATTATACATCATGACCAAGTTGGATTTATACTTGGAATGCAAGGATGAGTGAAGATACAAAAATCAATCAAGTCATACACCACATTAATATAATGAAAAACAGAAACCACATGATTCAGACAAAGCATTCAACAAAATTCAACACCATTTCATGATTAAAAACACTCAACAAACTAGGAATAAAAGGAAAATACTACCACATAATAAAGGCCTTACATGAAATGCCCACAACTAACATTATGTTTACTAGTGGAAGACAAAGCTATTCCTCAAAGTACAGGAGAAAGTCAAGGATGCCCACTCTTGCCACTTCTATTCAACATAGTACTGGGCCAGAGCAATTAGACAAGGAAAAGATATATAAAAGGCATTCCAGTTGGAAAGGAAGAAGTAAAATTATTTCTATTTACAGATTATATGGTTTTATATGTAGAAAACCCTAAAAATTCCACCAAAAACCTGTAAGAACTAATAAATGATTTCTGCAAAGTTACAAAATGCAAAATTAACACACAAAAATCCATTGCAGTTCCATACATTAGCAATGACCAATATGGAAAGGAAATTAAGAAGAAAATTTCAGACCAGGTGCGGCAACTTACACTTGTAATCCCAACATGTTGGGAGGCTGAGGCAGGCGGATCACTTGAGGCCAGGAGTTTGAGACCAGCCTGGCCAACATAGTGAAATCCTGTCTCTACTACAAAAACAAACAAATAAACAAACAAACAAACAAAAACAAAAAACCCACAATTTTATTTATAATAGCATGAAAAAGAACAAAATACTTAGAAATAAACTTAACCAAGGAGGCAAACAACTTGGACACTAAAAATTACAAAACAACAATGCTACAAGAAACCAAAGAGTATATAAATAAATGAAAAGACATCTCCATGCATGTGGATTTGAAGACTTAATATTGTTAAAATGTCCATATTACCTAAAACAATTTACAAATTCCATACAATCCCTATTACAGCATTATTCACAGTAGCCAAGAGATGCAATCCAAATATCCATTGGTGAATGAAAGGATAAAATATGGTATATACATACAATGGAAGACTAAGCAGCCTACGGAAAGAAGGAAATCATGTCACATGCTAGAACATGGATCAATCTCAAGAACATTATGCTAAGTGAAATAAGCCAATCACAAAAGGACAAATACTTTCCCTTCATATGAAGTATTTAAGGTAGTCGAAATCACAGAAACATAAAGTAGTGGTTGCCAAGGGCCGGGGGTGGGAGTAGGGGGGAAATTAGTATTTAATGTGTACAAAATTTCAGTTGTGAAAGATAAAAAATTTCTAAAGATCTAAATTTCACAATGATGTGAATATACATAACATTACTAAATTGTACAATTTAAAATGTTTAAGATGGTTTTTAAAAAAGGAAAAAGCATAGGAATAAATTTCATGACCTAAGACTAGCTAACGGTTTCTTAAACATGACATCAAAACCACAAGTAACAAAAGAAAAAATAGATAAATTGGACTTCATCCAAAGTAAAAACTTTTGTGCTTCAAAGAGTACCATCAAGAAAGTAAAGGACAACCCATAGAATGGGAGAATATTTCTGCAAATTATATCTTGTAAAGCATTTTTATCTGGAATATATAAAGAATTCTTATAACTCAATGACAAAACACAAACCAGTTAAAAATTACTAAATGTTGAGTACACATTGCTCCAAAGAAGATATACAAGTGGCGAATAGGTACGTGAAAGAGGTTCAACATCAGAGAAACACAAATGCAAACTACGATGAGATGCAACTTCAGAACCACTAGGATGACTTTATCAAAAAGAGAGTTGATAATAAATGTTGGCTCGAATATGGAGAGACACTGGGACCCTCACACAGCTAGTGGGTATATAAAATGGTTCATGTACACTGGAAACAGTCTGGCACCTTCTGAAATGGTTAAACATAGAGTTTCCATATGGCCCACCAATTTCACTCTTAGGTATGTAGCCATGAGAAATGGAAACATACATCCCCAGGAAACCTTGTACACAAATGTTCTTAGAAGTGTTATTCACAATACCCAAAAAGTGAAAAAAACCCAAACGTTCTTAACTGATAAATGGATAAATTTTAGTATATCCATTAATGGAATATTATTCAGCAACAAAAAGGTTTGATGTAATGATACATACTAAAAATGTAGATGACATTGGAAATATTATTCTAAGTGAAAGAAGACAGATGTGAAAGACACACATTGTATATTCCATTCATAGGGCATCATGCAACGCTGAAGTTAGAATCAAAGTGAGCTACAAAAGGGCAGCCACCTGGATCAAGTCCATCCTCATAGCTGTCAGAAAGCACAGCATGTTCACTAACGGGGGCAAGCCTTGCTCACGTTGTCAGATGGAGTTTCCCAGGAGGCTATGGCTTCTTCGGGGATCTGACATCCAATGGTGAAGGGAGGGGTCTCTGGAGGCAAACCTGCCAGGGGCCACCCCAGCCGCACTGGTTCCCAGAGAGTGACCTGGGTGTGTGAGCAGGGAGGCCAAGCTGACCAAGAGCCTCAGCACACCCCCAGCACCTGCTGTGAGCAAGCTGCATGGCTTCCCCAAGTGTGGATGCGATGACATCATGGGTATTTACAGATTCCTTTTCACTGTGTCCCAGGCTCTCCTGGTTCATGTGTGATACACTGCACTTGGGGTGGAGGTGTGCTGACAGTTGTAAAGGGCCGAGCCTTTCTTTCCCGTGGCTCTGATGCACAGTTTCCAGATACCAGTCATGAAGGAAGTTCTTGAGATTATGGACTTTGTCCTAGTCACATAGGGCTGCTAGGACAAAGTGCCATAGACTTGGGGGTGGTGGCACATATTAAAAAAAGAAGTGTATTTGTCACAGTCTGGAGGCTGGAAGTCCGAGGTTAGCATCCCAGTGGGCAAGGTTCTGGTGAGGGCTCTCTCTCTGGCTTGCAGATGGCCGCCTTCTCACTGTGTCCTCGTGTCAGGGAGAGAGAGAGCTCTGGGGTCTCTGCTTCTTACCAGGGCCCTAATCCCATCATTAGGGCCCCACCCTCATGGTCTCTTCTAACCCTGAATAACTCCCAAAGGCCCCATTTCCAAATACCATCACGTTGGGGGTTAGGGCTTCAGCACAGGAACTGGGCGGGGGACGTATGTTCAGTCTACCAGAGCCCCCCAGTCAGCCCCACTGTGCCCATTTAGGGGCAGATTGTAGGGCTCAGGTGGGACACAGAGGTGGAGGAAGCACAAGTTCTGCTTCCTAGGAATGGCTCAGCCAAGACAAGGACAGGGACAGTGGGATAGACAACAGCCAGTGGGGTAACCAGCAGGAGCCCCAAGGTGTCACTTTCACCCTTAGGTGAGGAAGTTGGCTGGGCACCCACACACGCCAGAGTATGGACCATGTTCCCTTCAAACACGGCTCACTTAACATTCCTAAACCCTGCAAAGGGGCAGTGCTACCTTATCTCTTGAGGATGGCCCTGAATGTAGAGGAGTCACGGGAGCTGCCCACATCACCCACCAGTGACTCTTCGCTCCCCACATTTTCCCCGAGGGCCTGATGTGCACTGAGCTGGGGAAGCCCTGCCAAGATAAACTCTCCTTCCCAAAGGCCACAGAAGACAGCAGGCCTCCGACACTGCCCACATCGAGCAGAAGGGACGGGGCAGAGGGGCATCTGTCAGGCTGACTGCTGTGTTCTGTGGGCAGATGGGGCCAGAGAGGACCCAAACATGGCTCCCTTTGTCACTTGGCCGAGGGGCCAGGCCACCGTGTACCAGACAGCTTTGCCCCACCAGCCTCTGCTGCTGGGCCAGCCCCCAGCGCCGTGACCACAGCTCTGCACGCAGGCAGTGCTGGGACCAGTGCCCTGGCAGTCACAGGGGTCCTGAGCCAATAAGCGCCCTGGGGGAGGAATCAGAACTCAGACCGTGGAGAAGAAGGTGTTGGCCAGGAGGGAACCAGGGTGGGTGCCGGGTCCTGTCCATGCTGGGATCTGAGATTCTAAGAGGTGGGTTAGGGGTAAGGGGGGCAGAAGTTGGCCCATGGGGTGAGGGCAGTTCAGCAGAGATTGGGAGGACAGGACAACCTGGGAAAGAGCAGAGCATCCTCCCCAGCCTCGGTCCCTCTCCTGATGCAGTCCTCATCTCACTCGTAGACTCTGGAAGTCTCCCTTTGGCGAACACCTAGCCCCCAACTCCCAGGTCACTTCCCAGACAGCCAATGCCACATCCCAGGCAGCCCCTGCTCTGCCCTTGGGGTCTGTGCCTGGCAGAAGGGCGGCTGACCCTCGGCCCCTCTTGGCCTGGGCCCCAGCTCCTCCGGGCCCTGGAACCAGCAGAAACACCCACCCTGCGCCTGATGGACTGGACATGTTGATGGGACCCATTGGTGATGGTGTGTTGGGAGGGAACTGTTTTAGAAACCAATGTAAATCTGTGTCTACATCAATTCCACATGAGTTCAGTCATCATATGGGAAGGGAATCATAGCTGTGGGGGGCTCCATGCAGGACCTTGAGGGCCCCGAGGCCAGTCCCTGTGGCCACAGCAAGGAGCATCTGCTTTAGCTAGTTGGACAAGACTCTCTCCTGCCCAGAAACAGGCAGAAGGACTTCCCCTGCTCCCCACCCATCATCGTATCCCAAACACACCTGTGTGGATGGTCACCTCAACGTCTCCCCTCAGCCCAGTGCCCGCGCTCTTCCTGATGAGGGTTAAGCAGGAGCAGCCTCCTCTCCCCATGTCCATGTTGCAGGTGGCTGCCTTCTCCTCAGCTCCCACCGAGCAGAACAAGAGCCAGCCAGCTCTCTCCAATCCCAGGATTTTCCAGGGATGCTGATGACGATGGGGGGCCCCAAGAAGCCTCCCTAAAGCAGGCAGGGCCTTGTGAGTCGGTAGTGGGAGGGATCAGGGCTTCCTCAGCATCTGTCAGTCCCTGGAGCATCTGAAGGGGCTCCCTACATCAGGAGGAAAGAGTGGGGCCGGCCCCTGTGGGTTCCCAGAGCCTGGCATCTGCCAGTTCCTCTGCCCTCCCTCACAGACACCCTCCACGGAGCAGCACAGCACCGAGGACAGAGGCAGCAGCCCCAAGAGCATTTTCCAAGACAACTACATTTATTCACACTTACACACGAGGCCCCCAACACACTGCTTCCCACCCCCACTCCCCAGCCCCTTCCCCCCAGACCCTCCCTTCCTGCCCTCCCCATTCAGCCACCCTCTCCCTCCCCTCCCTCCCCTACCCTCCAAAGCTAAGGCCCAGCAAGATCAGCACTGGGGGAGAAGAAGCTTTTGACCGCTTTGGGGCATCGGATGCCAGAGCCCCATCCTTGGGGATTGGCCCCAGAGAGCCTGCTCAGAAGCCCCTACTGGCTACAATGCTGCTTCTTCTCCTTCCTGGAGACCAAGGGGTCACCCTTTCTCTTTTGAGACTGTGAGGGGCCACCCAGCCCCCAAGTCAGGGATTGCTCCCCAGAGACCCTGAGCCCAGGCCCTCGGTGGGGTGTCTTTTCAGCAGGGGACAGGCTTCCAAAGAGAGGTTGCTTCTTGGCCTTGTTGGCAGGAGAAGGTGCTAGGTTGAGGCCTCTTCTCTCAGCAGATGGGGACTGATGAGTTCCCTGGGGTCCCCACTTTTCTGGGCTGAGAAGGCCCGAGGCAGGGACAGGGCTCTGGGGTAGCCACCAGGGCAGAAGCTTGTGCTGGGAACCCAAGAGGAAGGCCAGGCTGGGGAGTTCCTCCTCCTCACTTGACCCCTGAGCCAGCCCATGTGACTCCCTGACAGGAGACCCTCCAGGGAGATCCAAGGCATCCTTGGTACCCACGCCAGGGCAGGTGGGTCTGTGGTCCTGGGGAGGAGAGGTTGGCCGGGCAGCCCTCAGCCCAGGGGAATCCTGACATCCCAAAAGCACAACAGAGTCTTCGGACCTGGCCATGCCAGTGTGTGCTCTGCCTCGTCCCTGAGAGTCCCGGGCAGTCGTCTGGGGTGGGCAGGTTTCCATGCCAACCCCTTCTTGGGGGTCAGGGACGTCTCTCTCTGCTCCTTGGCCAGCTGCAAACTTAGAAGAACTTGAGTCCAACCGGGCTGTGCCACGACTAGGGGCTGCCCTCGAATGCTGTTTCTCCTTCAAGGGTGGGAGGCGCTTCTCCACTAGCTGCGGGAGGAAAGGGGGCACTTACTGGCACTGCCCCAGGTGTGAGCAGGGCCCAGGGTGGTGGAGACCAGGGCACTTAGGCGGCAGGTAGGGAAGCCTGAGGCAGCTGGGCTTTATGTCAAAGAGAGAGGGTGTGGCTCTGCCGGGCCTCCCGTTGGGCCTCACCACAGCTTGCATGCTGACTCCCCTCCCTGGCTCCTGTCCATCCTACTCCCTCTGAACCTGCATCTTCCCACTCCAGAGTGGCTCCCCAAGAAGCCGAGCATCCCCAGCGGGGGGGATTAGACAATCAGGTGGGCCTTGTGTGCCAGGTCCCTCCTGCCCCTGGGGTACCTGGGCAAGGGTGAGTCCTTCCTCCTGCTCCAGGTCCTGGCTTAGGGCCAAGAAATCCATCTGTGGATCTGGGGAAAGCAATTCTTCCAGGAATTGGGGATGAATGACGGCCTCCACCTGGAAACAGAAGGAAGAAGGTGTGAGCTTCCTGGGCACGGAGTAACCTGGAGCCAAGGACACCTGGAGGAGATGCAGAAAGCAGCGAGCGCCCCGTCCCCACCCTCCTGGGGCTGTCTCATATCATGGTGACCACCAGCTACAGACACAGACCACAGACCTGGTAGCTACACACACACAGACAGAGACACACAAACCACACACAGACACACAAACAGACCCACATATGACACAGGAAAAGACACAGACACAGGTAACGTACACACTCCACACTCACACCTACACAGACACACAAAGACACACAGTAACAAACCACAGACACAAACACACAGACACACACAATCACATACACAGACACTCAAATCCATGGAAATACACACACTGCTGAGTAGCTAAGGAACAGAGCTTAATTCCAAGGACCTGGGAGTGCCAGCCCCTGGAATCCAGCAGACCCCAGCACTCCAGGCCAGCCCACCTTGGTGACGAAGTCTTTCTGGGAACACAGCTTGTCAATGTAGCTCAGGAGGCCCGGGTCTGGGGGCGTCCAGTCCTCTTCCTGTGGCTGCTTCACTTTGCCCTCTTCCCGTTGTTTCTCGGGCTCCCCCGTGGCCCCGAGGGAAGGCCCCAGCAGCTCCTCCATGATGTCCACATACTCCTGCACCACTTCTGGGGGGATCTCCTCAGGGACCTTGGTCTCTGCTGGTCTCTGGGGCCTGGGTGGTGGCAGGCGGGCCTTGGTCTCTGCTCGCCGGTGGGGCTGGGGTGGTGGCCGGCGGGCCTTGGTCACTGGCCTCTGGGGTCTGGGTGGTGGCAGGCAGGCAGTCTGGGCCTTGGGGCCGGCCTTGCTGGGAAGGTACACTGAGGCAGAGAGGGAGGAGGACGGGCGTGGTGAGGGCCGCTCCTCCTGCTCGCACCACACAGGGGAGGGCAGGGCTTGGGGATGTGAAGTGGGTCCCAGCTGGGTCAGGACCACCTGAACCGCAGCGCCCCCGGAGGAGGCAGGAGGGGCACATCTGAGACAGCATCGCTTGGGAGGAAGTTTGGAGCCACCAATATGCCGTGTACTCTCCCCGCTCATCCCTGCTTCCTGGGCAGAGCATATGTGGAGTTTTGGACAGGCGAGGGGAGAGAGTAGCTAGGAAACTTGACCAGGTCAATACCGAACATATGCTCCTGGAAACTGTCCTGTTGGAGGGAGCAAATCCCCCTCTCGAAGGGAAGCATGGGGTGTGGGGACAGTGGCCTCCCTTGGCCCTTTTGGCCTTTGCCATGGCTCCTGTGGGAATGTGGGAAGCCATACCTGGCTGCTTGACCACCTCAGGGGCCGGGGGTCCTCGAGGTTCAAGCCTCGGTGTGGCTGGAGGAGGCAGGCACTGGGGCCCCTTCATCCATTGCGATTTCTGAATCTGCATCTCCTCCTCAGCCTCAAACTCCAGGAACCTGGCGGTGAAGGAGGCCCAGGCTGTGCTGAGAGGGTCCAGGCCCCCTCCCCGCAGGACCAGGCAGCGGCCGAGGGCAGGGATAGGAGGGAGTGCCTCGGGTGGGCTGTCCAGGCCCTCACTGTGTCCCATCCCCCAGTCCCAGGAGAAAGCTGCTCCCAGAGTTCTGGGCTCACCCTCCCTCACCCGGCCCCTGCAGAGCCCATGGCATCAACGGGGCTTCCTGACTCAACTCAGGGCCACGAGGTCCAGGAGGGTCTCGGGGGACCCCTCCTCCAGGTTTCAGCTGGCCAGGGGTGGGATTTATGGCAGAAGGCATCAGGGATGATGCCCAGATGCAGGAGTCCTGAGGCTAGGACTGTGGGCCCCTGAAAGATAACCCAGGGGCACGAGGCCTGGGAGACCCCTGGTCAGGAGGAAGCAAAAGCTGAGCTCAGAGGACAGGGCTCCTTTCCCCTGAGGCTGCTGTCTATCTGTCTGCCTTCATGGAGGGGACTGCCCAGGAGCAAAGGCAGTCAGGCCAGAGATGGGTCCCATGGTGTCCCAGGTGCAGATCTCCCCAACCCAACTCCCTGGCCAGGCTGGGATGGGAGAAAACCGACTTCTGGCCACTGCTGTGAGGAGCCTGCACCCTACTCTTGTCCATAGTCACTAGCGCCCCTTCTCCCCATCCCCACAGCTGGAGGTGACCCACTTTGGGCTGTGATGCTGGCTGCTCCTGCCATGACCTCCAGTGTCAAGGCAGGGATGGCCCCAGGCCAGGCAGGGGGTGCTTCCCAATAGGCCAGGACAGAGACCCCAGAACACTCTAGGTGGCAGGAGCAGCTTCCTGAGGGAGCCAGGGGCCCAGAGTGTCCTGGGTTTCTCCACACCCTCCTCATACTCCACGTTGAGAAGCCACCACGGCCACCGGGCCTCTGTCATTCACTCTCACCCTGCCACGCGGGCCCTGCTCCCAGGACCCCAGACTCACTTTTCCGCCATCTCGTAGAAGATCATCCGGTCAAAGTTGCTCGTGTGCTGCCATTCCCGCATGGCCCGCCACAGTCCCTCCTCCAGGGTCATGGTGGGCTTCCGCCGGGCCAGCGATCGGAGAACTGGGCTGTAAACCAGTGCAGTCAGTCTCAGTCTATAAGCCCACCCTTCATCCCAAGCCCACCTGGTCCCAACACCTGGCCCCTGTCCTCCCCACACCTGTCCTGCCATCTGTCCCTGTCCTGTTCTCCCCCATGTGGGCTCCTCAGGCCCCAGAACACAACCCCAAGATCAAACATCAACACAAGCTACCAAGTGGCCTCTCCGACTGCCCCTCGAGTCCTCAGTGTTGAGAAGTGGACTCAGTACTATGGGTGGAACATGTGTGTCTCCAACATTCCTGTGCTGAAGCCCTCAGCACCAGTGTGTCAGTATTTGGAGGCAATCAGGGTTAAAGCAGGTCATGAGCGTGGGTCCCAGTCATGGAATCCAAGCCCTGATAAGGGCAGAAGGAGACGCCAGGGCTCTTGCTCTCAGCCACGAGGAGACATAGCCAGAGACAGCTCTCTCCAGCCAGGAGGAGGGCCCTGACCAGACACCCAATCTGCTGTCACCTTGATCTGGGACTTCTGGCCTCTGGAACTGGGAGACATGAATGTGTCTTGATAAAGCACCCAGTCTACGGCATTCGTTACGGCAGAGCCTGAGCTGACTGAGACAGCGTGCACACAGAATGACCTGGGGGTGAGGGTTAAAGTGCAGGTTCCAGGGCCCCAAGACTGAGCATTTAACCGGCTTCCTGGGGACTCTGGAGCAAGGCAGCCCCTGGGGACGTAGCCTCAGGGCCCTGGAGCATGAGGAGCAGGAGCACACGTCCAGAACCAAAGCAGAGCGGTGTCCACGCCACTGCAAGCAGCAGGTCCAGATCCCACATTCCCACAGGAGCCATGGCAAAGGCCTGTGAGCCTGGGGCAGCTCCACCCCAAGAATCAGGGTCCCCAGTGCACCGGGACTCCGCTCCAAGGAGGAATGCAACCAGTTCCAGGGTGCGGGAACAGCGAGATTTTGGGGGATGAAAATGGGGCCACCTTCCACCTACACCCCAGGCAGGGGACTTCCCTAGGGGAACGGCCAGTGTGTTGCACGGTGGATGTGCTCAAGCTCCCGTTTGCTCATCAGCGGGAAACACAGGGTCACAGAGGCACCGCAGGGTGGAGAGAGGCAGGGACTGGGAATGAAACCACAAACTCTCCCAGATGCTGACGTTGCTGCCTCACAGTCACCACAGTCCATGGCCCTGGGCTGCTGGACTCATGGTGCACTCAGAGCTATCACTGGAGCCCGTGGCTTTGGGGAGTGCTCTCCTAGATGGCCTAGTCTTGATAATGATAGTAATGGGGACAGTAATCGTAACTGCTGTCATGTAATGTATCATAGCATGTGCCAGGCACTGTGCTATGCATGTCATATGTGAGCTCAAGTTATCTCTTCACCATCCTCTGAATGAAGCATCATTGTCCCTTTTTCTAGGAGGGATTGAGGGTGAAGATGCAAATACCTGCCCGGCATCGGCCCCAGTGCAGGGCCCGAGACCATCCCCCTGTGCAGGCTCCACCACCGCTGTGCTAACTGGACCTCAGCGGAACTGCGGGCATGTGCCAGGTTCCTGCTGGGCCCTGCAGCTCCTCCCCCCGGCCCCATGTGAGGTGCTCCTGGCCATCAATACTGGGTTAAAGGGGAGGCACTGGGGTGTGTACTCAAAGACCTAAACCCAAACCGTAGCTCACGTCACACCAGGAACCCTCTCTGACCTGGGTCTTCTGTAAACATTGTTGTGAAAATTATTGAAAGTAAGGATTGGCTGGACTCACGGGACAGTGACGGGCAGTTGAGATGAGGCCCCTGACAGTCTGTCCTGAGCCGCAGCCAGATTAATATGGTTGAAAATGTACCTTCCCATAGTGCAGCCCATCACCCTCACAACCGCCCTGCAAGCTCCCCTGAACAGCGTGACCTCCCGTCCATCCAGCAGCCTCTTTACGTGTGAGCTGCAGGACCAGCTCCAATGCCCCGAGGACACTCACATGAGGAAGCACGAAAGCGCTTCGGTGTCAGGACTCTGGGGAAGGTGCCTCCGGGCCAGGGGCTTGTAGTGCTGCCAGAGTCGGAAGTTCTCATAGACACTCCTGGGGTTACAGGAGTCATCTGGCGGGGCCTTGGCCTGGGAGGAAGCCAGGCTGCTCTCTCCATGAGCCCCTTGTGGCCATGGCCCAGCATTCCCTTGGGACACAATGGGGGGCAGCTGGGCAGCCGGTGGTGGTGGTGGTGGAAGAGGAAGGCCCTGGGACCAGCCTCCCTCACAGGCCTGGGTGCCCCCAACCACCTGGGCAGCCATAACAGGCACCACAGGAGCAGCTGCCAGGAGTAGGGGAGGTGGACACACAACACCTCCGCAGAGGGCGCCTGGAGCCTGCCAGACGAGGGGGGCCTGAGTTAGGACCAAGGTCTGCGCCTGAGCGGCCTTCACAGGCCCCACCTCTGTCCTCATCTGGACAAAGACGTTGGAAGCCCCGGCCCCACTCGGGCTGCAGCCATCCTGTTCTGTCACCAGAGGTGTGCTGGGGAAGGTAGACAGCACCAGAGGGCCGCCTGGAGGAGCCCCTGCAGTCACAAGGAGCGGCCCGTGTGCTGGGCCGGGAGCGGGTGTGGTGAAGGGCAGAGCCGTGAACACAGACAGGGAGGTGCCAGGGTTCGCGGTCACGCCCGGTCCCAGCACTGGGTATGCTGTGGAGACAAAGGAAAGAGGTGAATGAGCTGGGGTCTCCAGGTCCACACTAGTCACTGGGGAATCAGAGGGGAGTCCCAACAGCTAAGGGCGTATGACAGGGAAACTGCAGCTTGCAAATGTCCCTGAGTGTGCATCGGATGCTCTGTTCCTCCACGGAGAGTCGCTCCACTAGAGAGCCTGGCCCCGGTCACCAAGACTCCCTGACCCCTGTCTCCCAAGAAGTAACAGCCAAGCCTTTGCTGCCCGAGGGTCTCCCTCGGGTGTCCCTGGCAGACCCTGTCAGCCTCACAGGCATCTCCCAAGCCATGGGTCAGGGATGAGTCTCTCAGCGGCCTGGTGGTCCTCAGCGTGCTCAGCAACAGGTGAGGGGCCTACCCCAGGGCAGTGCTCGGCACTCAGAAGGCCGACAGGAAGCCAGAAGCTTCCGAATGTTATGGCCCCATCTCCTCTTCAATCTTCCTTTTCCTGACGCTCTTGTAAACCCCTTTCTTTCCCAGCTCAGACATACCAAAACAAAACCACTGGATGGAAATCTTTCCCAAGCCAGCGCCCTAGGAACCCTGAAGATAATCCATAACTCGTCATGCCCAGCATGCAAGTGATTGTCCTGGCACCACCCACAGCAAGTGCTAAATAGGGGTCAGATTCGGGCCACCCTTTCCGCAGTACTCGATGGTCCCGGCTGTCACTCAGGAAGCTCTGTTCCCAGGGAGCAGGTCTGAGAGGCAGTGGTGGAGTCCCCTGAGACAGTGTCACTGCATAGCCAGCAAAAGCCACACACGATTAGAACACAGCCAGCAAATGGTGAGCAGCAGAGCTAACAGGGGAGGTGTCTAGGGATTTTCACAGCTGCTGGTCATGTTACAATAGGTAGTGGGACAAGGAGCCCATCCCTGGCCCTTCTCCTTTGAGCTCCCAATAACTGAACATAGTGACCAACCAAAAACCAGGGGTTCTTGGGCCATGGGCCGGGTGAGGCAAAGTTGTCTGGAACTCATCCCTGTTCAATAGGACCTCATGCAGTCTCTAGTCAAGGGGAATAAGGGATACAGCACATGCACCTCATCATTCAGGACACGTATCCTAACTTGAATAATAATAATAAGAGAACCATCTTCCTATTCGTGCGCTACTCTCCTTCCTCTACTGAAAAGGAAACCAGCCTTTCCAGACCCTTCCACTGAGAACCAGCAAGAATCCACACCTGCCCCCCGTTCATGAGGTAGTATAAATGGAATAGGAGCAAATTCTTCATCTCCACAGTAACACAAAGTGCAGAGGACAGGCCATGAGCTAGCAGACAAGAGGAAGTGGGTCTGAAGACCTGAGCTTCCACAAAAGGGCAAACAATTCAGAACAACTCAGGAAACCCAGGCCCTGTGTTGCCTGAACTTCCTCATCTGCCCCCACCCCTGTTAAATCAAAGCCAACAGCTACCTGAACTGACGGAGAAGCCATCTCTAGGGAGAGAGCTGAGGGGCTCTGGGCTGTGGCAGTTACAGCAGCCCCCAGCCTCGCCCACCCAGGGGCTGTCACTACATGCTCTGTCACAGCCAACCCACCCAACAGTTTTCTGGCTGAGACCACTTCTCCCCACTCCTCCCTAAGATCTAGAAAACTCCAGTCCAAATCTCTCTGAACACTATGGAAGGGCACCTTCCAGGTGCCTGAAGATATGGCACAGGGTTCAGGCTTGCCTATCATCCTCCCGGGGCCACCAGCACAACATGATCCCACCACTCCCTACAAACACACAATGACGTGACCTGTCTCCTTCTAGAAAGGATCAATCCATCCACTCTGTCCTTTCTCCTACACGGTGTATTCCCCCAGCCATCTTGTTCCACCTCTAAGAGGCCGTCCTCCCTAAACACAGACTCAGGGTGCCATGGCCATCCCCAGGTGTGATGTCCTTGGGGACATCCAGTCTTCCCTCCCTCCTCAACATCAGCCCTATCAACTGTCCCCGGGGCAGTGTCAAATTTGAATTCCTAAGGAGTTGAGGCATGGCAGACTCAGATAATGCCCCCATCCCTACAGGCTTACCTCCATTCGAAGCCATCCCCTCAGGCTGGGCACTGACCACCGCCGTCTGGCAGTTTCCGCAATAAGAAAAGCCAAGGGTAAGACCCAGAGAGTGACCTGGCTCACCAGATGCTCCTGAGTCCAACTGAAACAGGGAAAATTTGAAAGTAAACAGGTTCCTGGAACATAGGACCCCAGACATTCTGCAGAGGGGGAGGGGCAGTGGGCAGCTGTTAGGGGTGGGGGACGTTCTGTGAAGGGCTTCGGCCATTAGGCAAGAACCTGAGTTTCCCTTCCAACTGGAAGGCAGCAGCAGAGATGGCGTGTGCCTCTTTAGGCAACTTTTAAATTGTCCTTCTGACTCACAGCAAAAGCTTCTACCTGATGGCCCCTTTACTTCCATTCTTTATCAGCAGACCTACTTTTGTGCCAATCAACCCATGCTCCTTCCCACTTTGGCTCTTTCCCAGTCTTGACGAATTTCAACAGCGGCCTCACTTCGTGAACAAAGTTCAAAACACATTTTCAGTCTGAGAAACACAGGGGTTCTTAGGAAGGCAAGGGGACTGGGTGTTTGAAATCAGGATGGTCTCAGCCGATCCAGACTATTAGGTGGCTGTGTGCTTATCATTGTTTAGGAAGCAATCCTTGTACCCCCAGGTCATGCATGTTGCTGGAATCTCTGTCCACACCAGCAGGCCAGCCTTACGTCCCAGCCCCTTTGCTGGAAAGCCTCAATCCAGGAAAGAGTGGCTATGTGACCTACAGCACCGAGACCAGAAATCCTTTCATTTTGTTTCCCAGCATATTGTGCTGGTGTTAAATGTTTATGTTTTATCTTTTGAATGATTTTAATTTAACCAAGCAATACTTTTCATGGCTCCAAATTCAAACTGTGCACAGTGGAATAGGCAATGACCAGCCTTCCTCCCATCTCTTTTCCCTGGCCACATTTTCTTTCCTGGAGGAAACAGGTGTTATCTGATTGTTTCTCATCTTCACTGAAACACACCCTGGCTGGCCTCTCTCAGCTCACTGTTGGCCTCGTCTTCACCATACGTTCTTGCTGTTTGGAATCCAGTGTCATGGCATGTGGTTCTCTGCATGGGAATTATTGTAGCCTGTCTTTAAAAAAAGCTTCATTCTCATTTCCACACTGAGAATCACTGTCCGTTTATTAGTATCAAAATGATAGGAAAGAGCACTCATGTTCTGTGTTGTGAACAAGGGGAGTATTAGAAGAAACTGGTCAAAGGAGATGAGGAGTGAGAACTCAGAGCACAGCAACAAAATCTTCTGAGACACACAAATCACTCCCTGCTGGGCAGGGTAATTTTGCACGATGGGAGGGTGTTGGGGAAGGGAAGAGGCCTTCAGCCAGACCGGTGCACACTGCAAACATTCACTGAAACACACCCTGTCGGCACTTACGAAGCATTTGCCCTTTCGAAGACACTTGGACTCAAGAAGGCAGAGTTGCAGGAAAATGTAACAGCGGCCACACTGCAGGGGCAGGGGCAGGGGCAAGTGGTGGATTGCAAGTCTCAAGCCCAGGGTTCTCCCCCACTGCCCCAGTTGTGTGAGAAGGTCATTTCCTAACTCCTGTCCAATATCCCCATGAGTTCTCGGTTTTGTCCCAACTCTGAACCTGAATGGTCCAGCAAGCATTTCTGTGAAATGTCTCCACAGTGGCCACTGGGAGGGGAGTGACCTCCATGCAGTGACTGTCTGTCTGGGTGCTCCCAGGCCTTTTGTCCTCTGAGACAGAACTGCCTTCTTACATGCAGCCCTCTTCCACTGTGCAACTCTACCTCCATCTTAGCTGAGAAGATCAACGGAGAGCAATTCAAGCAAAATCATGGTAAACTTACCAAAACAAAACAAACTGTAAACACTTTGGAGATCTTTCTGAGGACTTGATCTTTTACCATGGGGCAAACTTAAATGATTTTCAATCAATAACTTCATCTAAGAGGGATGTTGAAGCAAAATATCATACTCAGATACTGAAGAAGCGCAGAATTTTTGGTTGCTTCCTCCCTTGTCAAGTCAGTCAGCTGATGCTTTCTCAAGATTCTC